>NC_000005.10:22732063-23035093 GCF_000001405.40 Homo sapiens
ACAAAGCACCACAGACTTGGTGTTTTAAGCAACAGAAATATATTTTCTCACAATTCTGGAGACTAGAAGTCTGAGGTCAACATATTTGGCAGGGTTGGCACAGTTGGTTTCTGTGCAGGTCTGTTTTCTTGGCTTATAGCTGCCAGTTTTCTCCTGGCATCTTCACACGGTCTTCCCTCTGTATATATCTTTGTCCTAATCTCCACTTCTTATAAGTGTACCAAACATACATGTTTATGGTCCACTCTAATGACCTAATTCAAACTTAATCACCATTTTCAAGACCTTGTGTCCAAATATTGTCACATTCTGAGTTACTAGGTGTTTCGACTTCAACATATGGATTTGAGAGGGAGACAATTCAGTCTATATATACATATGTGAATGTGTGTGTATATATATATATATACACACACACACACACACACACACACACACATAAAAATTCCAAACCCCTACTATCCCAGAGTATGCCATTCACTGAAAATAGAGTTAGTTGCTGCAGATGCAGTGGTTAAGTTAGAGGAAGGACTTAGTCCACTCCAATGTGAACAGTGTCCTCCTATAAATAATAATGAATACAGATACACACAAGGAGAATGCTGAGTGAAGACAAATGCAGAGATCAAAGTTGTACATCATCTATAAGCCAAGGAATGCCAGCTTGCCAGCAAACTGCCAGAAGCTAGTAGAGAAGTATGGGGCAGATTCTTCTTTGCAGTCCTCAAAAGGAATCAACCCTGCTGATACCTTGGTCACAGACTTCCTGCCCCAGAACTGTGAGACAATAAATGTCCATTGCTCTAAGCCACCCAGTTTGTGGTACTGATACAGCAGCCCCAGAAAACTAATATACCCACTTTTAGAACAGTCTTTCAACACTGATAAAAATTTAAAAACTAGTTTTATTTTTTATAAAATGAATACTTAAGCATTTGATGAGCAAATCATCTGAAATAATGTGTGTGATTAGGTGTATCATGCCAAAACAAGAGTCATTGAGAAATGACTGAAGTTATCCCTATGAAGAATCCAGAACAGATAATGAACACAATAATAAATACAAATTGGCCTTAAATGAACTTTCAAATTAAGGTTAAAATTACTTTATTCCTATCTGAGTTATTCACAGAGCTCTCCTGAATAAGTAAAAAATAATTTGTCACCAGGATTTACTTAATTAGCTTCATCACAATGTTAATTAAATATTTTTAAAAATAAAATGTGGTATGACTTTCTTAATATTTAGCTTACATACAGTTATAATCCTAAGCATATTTCAAAAACTACGTTAAAAAAGGAGCAAAATTCAAAAAATATGCATTTATATGAAGTGATCTTTTATCGAAATTAAACTGTCATTTTCTTTGTGAATCTTTTTTTTTTTTTAGTTTAGCATATTCATTTTATGTGTCATACTGTGATTCATTTCTCCCACCAAGTTTTCTTCTTTTAACATCTATGAACACTGTGTTGGTTGATTTATATGCGCCCATGATGTCATATTTTTGCCAATATAAAATTTTAAATTGATGTGCATCAATTTCCATGTAAAGTCAGCCTCTCTTCTTCCCTCATAAGCCCAAGTCCGTGAAATGAACAATACATGTTGTAGCCTGGGCAAAAGCACAAATGAAATAAAAATATCGTTATAAGGTATTCTTGTTATTTATTAAAGTGAGGGGGGTTCCTTCCTGGACAGGGTTGACTTTACTCGACTAGTTAGATTGGTAGAAGAAACTGAGGCATACTTATTTTAGCCTCTTCTTTCTTCATTTCCAGATTGGCCAGCTTGCAGAGAAGGCGTATTCTAGTTGCTATCCTATAACCAAATAGAGAGTCTGCCCAGACTTACAGTTGTGAAGACTGGGGAAGTGTTGGGACAGCCAGTCAACAATATCCCCCTAGGTTTCCCATCCTCCAGCCAGGATTGAACAGATCCAGAGTTAAGTCTCTGCAGACCTGGGTGTGGTATCTTGCCCCCTATGTCGACTAGCTGTGTGACTTTAGGAAAGTTTTTAAAATACATTGTGTCTTAGTTTCTTCAAATGTAAAATGGATCTGATTCTATAATCTCCTTCTTCCAGCTTCTGCACAATAGACATGTGCTAACACACATTAAATGCTTAGAAATTGTATGTATTCAAGAACAGTATTCACTATTATTGATCGCCAACTGATTGCCTTCTATGTTCTGTCCGTAATTGTTCAGAATTTGGCTATAGCAGATAGTAGTATCATTTGTTGACATCTGATTCCCAACATTTTTAGAGCAACAACATAATAAAAAAAATGCAAAAAAGTTACAAAAATTATGGCTATCCCTCAAGGATATATTTTCAGAAACTACTGGGAAACCCTAATCTAGAGAAAGAAAATGAAACTAAATATAAACCCATTCCTATGTTTATAGCATTTTTCACATTATCTAATTAAGTGTAATAAAACCATGGCTATAGTCATTAATTTAGGGAAGGGCTATAGTTCAAGGGCTGGCTGGTTTAAAGACTTATTTTTGAAACTCTACAGCATACTTTATACCCAACTTCTTCTCCAAACACTGGTAACTCATTGCTTTAGGATGCAGGAATCAATCTCTGCCATTACCATGAAAAAGAATGATTCTCTCACTAATGAGTTGAATTTCCCCCTCTAAGACACCCATGCACCGGTCTTGAGATGGGGTCTACGATAATGTTCTTAGTAGCAGTATTCACAAGAACCGTTGTAAACCTGTTTCCTAAAATATAAAATGGAAATGAGTAAGATAGCCACAACATAACATTGTTATGACCCCAACATGAGAAATTTATGTAAATTTATCAATAAGACAATGAGTGCAGATAAGTGTTCTGTAAAGATTAGACATTGTTCCTTCAAAAACAGTCTCATTTATAATTATGGAATATTATTCCTTCTTGGCCATCTATGCTCAGTTTAAGGATTCAATTCAGCTTATAGCAGAAAATGGACTTTAGGTCAGTTACATCAGTATCTGAATTGCTGAATCTGCAATTTATAAGTTGTGTGACCTTGAAGAAATATGTGATCTCTTCTGAATTCCAGCTTCTTCATTTATCAAAGATGTTACTGCCACCTATCGCAACTACCTCAACATAATACAAACCTATGTGATATGTGTAGCCGTACATTAAATGTGTGGCTATAGGAGCAGTATTGTTACTTTATTGCCTCATTCTTCTTTCCTGATTACATACAAATAATATATGTGAGTTTTTATGAGAAACTAGCCATTTAATGATACAGGGTTACCCTTCAGAAGGTCTTACTTGAAAATTTATGAAATACACACACATATATACACAGATGTTTAAGAAGCCTTGGGAGAAAAATTATATTTACATATAAAATATAAATTTATAGGGAAAATGTGCTGCTTAAAGTATACTACATCCTAAAATGTGCTATTATATACTATGCCATGGTATATTATAATTAAAGTATATAAATCCACCCCGAATGTCATCTTTCAAGTTTTAGTTCCTAAAGTAGTTTTCTATACATGTGTGTGCACACACACAAACTTTAGCATGCCAAACAACTTATTTTTACACATTATATCAGAAAACAAATCTCGTTAGAACTTCTAAATGAATTGGAATTGATCCATCTATTCCTGTAAAAAATAGGGTAAAGTTAAGTGATTTTAACACATCCATGATTGAAAATTGTATTCTCTTAGTTTAATTGAAAAATGAGTGCTTACTCAAAAAATGAGTGTTTACTCATGTGTCATCTTGGGCTTTGGTGTATCAACATACTTGTTGGAGTTATTGAAAATTAATCTGGAGAAGTGTCTATACGAAAAGTTATAAGATAGTCTTTAAGAGATTAATAACAGAAGCACTAGACCAGGATCAATGACTACGTCTCTGACACAAATATTATTTTGGAATAATTCCAACATAAATATAATTCATATTCTGATTTTCTATTATCTAACAATTATTTGACCATGTCACTTAAATTACCTAAAGTATTTAAACATTTTGAGCTCAGACTCCTTACCTAAAAACTAGAATAAAGTTTTAGTCCAAATCATCGTTATAGAGATTTAAAATGTCATTTTGTATGCAAGAATAAAAACATTTGTTATTTCCTCCATCCTAACTCACATTAACAAATTTTAAACCATTAATTAATTAGTGTATACTTTAAAATTGAGATATACATAACTTCCTCCAGTTAGATATTTTAGTATAATTACATAATTTGTGTATATAGATGAATGTGTATATATGTATTTTTTTAAGTAATATGAGATAGTTCATTGGCTGAATACTGCAAAATCCTTTTTGTGTTATTTGCAAAAGATATTTGCAAGAAAGGTAATTGTATTTAGTTTTGCTGTTGCCTTTGCTTTTTTTAAGATTCAAATTTTTAACAAAAATATATGCTGTTAATAGCATTCTTTATATGCACACACATCTGTGATGTTATTGGAAGTAAAGTATGTTGTCTGTTAGAGTCAGCGTTTTTTTTTACTTGAAAATTTATTTTAATTGAGGGATACGTTTTCAAAAAAAATGCTATGAATATTTTTCCTTGTTATAGTTTAGTCAGCATTTTCACATATGTATCAGATAGATTAGGAAAAAACTGGCAATACAACCTGAAGGCTGAAAGTTTAAACACACACACACACACACAAAAAGCCTAGAAATACAGAAGTCATAGTTGTCATAGCAACATAATCTGGCTACATTCACATTATCCTTTTTCTCACCAGAAATATTTTCAAAGCTCCATAGAGTTGCTCCAACTGGAATGGGAATGTAGTCTGTGTGCATTTAATTGAGAACTTTAAGCCACTGTTAATACAGTCCATAGTAACCAGAAGCAATACTTTATTTGAAATTTAATTCAGAGAGTATAATCATTTAGGTGGATTCCTAGTAATTTTATCGTTATGAAATAATGTATAGTTAAGACTAGGCTTTTGCTTCTATTCAGAAGATATAGAGAGAAAGCATCCCATAGTAATATTTTAAAATCCTCCCAAGGTTTTACTAAATCTGCTTCCTGTTATTTCCCAGTGGCTTTTCACTGATGTTTATAATAAAGCTGCAGGTGCTAGATATCTTCTTGTACCACGAAATTTTGTGTGTATTATTCTATATCTTTAATCTGAATATAGGCATGATTCTTTGAATCTTTTGATTCCCCTATTTTCACTTCAAGATACATCATAAAATGAATAATATGTTTAAATGAATCCCATAGTCTGATCCCTACCTGATGTTTTGCTAGAAAATAAATAATAATAACAAAAAAACTTCTACTTTGGAGAACATCAATATGAAGCTCAAAATAATATATTTAGTTTCATTTCAGAAACACTTTTTTTAGCTTTCTTTACTGATTTAACTGATTAAAAGTATTAGTGTAATTAATCACCAAACGAGCACGTATTTGCGTAATAAAAATTATAACGTGAGAAAAATAGTTAATAAGACTTAGCTGAAAGAAATAGAAATAGAAATTACTAACAAAAAATATAATATAAATGAGAGTGAGCTTCAGTGACTTAAAAGGAGCTGCATCTCTACCTTAAAAAACATCTAAGACAGAATCGACAAACTTATGACATTTTAAGCCTAAGTATTTAACAAATATGATGTGAAATGGTCAAAATGTAATAACTGTTCAAAATATTAAATTTGCCTAGAACTTTTGGTGGGAAACAGACATATTCTTTGTATATTTTAATGAAAATTATTGATCGAATAGTGCAGAATACATGGATTCATTTAGCAATTCATAATTATACAAATGTCAAGCAACAATGTAATTTTCTCTCTCCATATTCAGTGTAAAGTTATTGGAAAGCCTTTGTCCAGTTCTTCATAAAATGAGACACTTTTGAGAGTGGGGTAAGGGGTGTAAATTTCGTTAGTTATGATTATCTGGGAAGAAGTGGCACAGTTCCTGGAGGGTCTGAAAATTGTACAGCAAGGACATGGTACATTGGGTGAGGCCAAGTGAGAGCCCAGTCAGAGTTGATAATATAAAACCTTGAGTAGCTGGAAACTGTTTAGAGCTGGAGAATGCTACAGAGGGGCCACAGCAAGGATCTTGTCCAAGGTTATTAGCAGAATCTATCTCCATGACTCTCAGGGCTGTCTCGTGGAGCAGACGTTACATTATAAAAATCATTTAGGAATCATAAAGTCTATGGTAATGGTCTAATTTTACTAATATTTGCTTTGCTCTAGTTTTGATCCATTGTTGTTTCCTGTGGTCAGAGACACATGCTTTAGGAAATTTCAGGGAAAAGGTATTATCTTAAACCTAGAGTGCAGCCAAATTGACAATGTCTGCTTTGTCCATAAGCAAGATGACCATTTCTCAGATTTGACTCTACTACGTTGATATTGTTACATGTAAATAACTGACCCAATGGTGACGAAGAGCAAGCTAGTTACCTTGTATACAGGAGAAAATTCAGTATTGTGATAGACATTAGTTCATGTGTTAAGCTTTGTAGGGGATTTGGAGATTGGTAATCCTTCAAATTATGAAAAATATACAAAAATACCTAACTTCAAGGGGACATGTTTAAAAATGTCATAATTCATATAAAAACAATATATTTCTTTTACCACAAATATGCTAAAATATTGGGAAAAAATAAATATTTCAATAAAACCATGAAATTACACAATCATAGGGACTTATATTAATATGTTAATTACTTCAAAGGCACACAGGAAAAGAAATAAGCTACCAATTGACATTAGACTTCTGCCAGAGCTTTGTGTGTTTGATTTTAATACAATAATAGCATCACCTCTTCCTGGTTCTAATTTATTTTCTCAACTCTACAAGAATAATAATAACATTTCATATTAAACAACTGACATATTTAATGAATTTTGGTAAAGCTCTGTACCAATTTATAAACTAATTTTGGTGTGCCCTTTTTATGTTTAACATGAAAAACTATACATTAATTTCATTATTCCATATATGTCTTTTAAAATAAAGAAAATCACGATTAAAACTAAAGCTCAAATGTCACTAAAGAAAGAAAATTCAAGGTAGTTATCATGTTAATTTGGTTTCAATGAGAATTTTCATGTGTAATTGTATTTTTAAATCACTTTCATAAAAGACATACATTCAATGTGTAAAAAGGAAAGAAATCATGAAAATGAATGTATTAGGGCCTATCTAATTTTGTATATAGTGAAATAAACATATATACAACATTTTTGAATTTAAAAATTTTACTTTTTTTTACTTACATTAAAGAAAAAACTCTGACACTCACAATACTACGTAAAATATATGTCAATGAATGTTGTCCACTTTTCTCCCCCTCTGGACAAATGTTACATTTAAGAACCTATTTTATCATCTTATAAGTAAATATTTTAGGAGAAGACTAAAATATTCCCAGTATTTCTAAACAGTGAAAACAGAAACAAAATAAGCACAAGATTTCTGTACAGTAGTCTACCTTATTGTTGTTTTGTAAGAACACTTAACATAAGACCTATCGTCTTACAAAATTTTAAGTATAAACCTGCAGTATCATTGGCTATAGGTACTATGCTGTAGAACAAATCTCCGGAAGTTATTTATTATGCATAACTGAAACTTTGTACCATTTAACCATCACCCCTCCATTTCCTCCCAGCCCCTGGCAACCCACATCCTTCTTTCAGCTGCTTTTCAACCCTCTGTTATGAAGTATTTAACATTAGTGTGAACTAGTACAATGGAGTCATGTACCCTTAGAATCTAAACCTGATTCCAACACTTACTTGCTTTGTGACCTTAAGTAATTTCCTTAAACCATTAGCTTCCAGGTATATAAAATGGGGTACATTATGTTACTATACCTTGCTTGATGTAAGGCAGAATAAATGACATTAAATTAAACCTCTTGCTCAAGGACTAATGTATTACAAGATGTCAAATTCAAATGAAACTTGTGATTTCTAAATTAGAATGTTACATAATTTGATTTGGGGCAAACAGGAATAAGTTCTTACATAATTGAATTTAATATTATTTTCAGTTTCTTGTAAGAGAAAAAGTTTCCTTGTTGGTATGAACACTCCTTACATTGCAGTGTAGTCTTACGTATTTGGAAATTGAACACTGTATTTAACAGGAAAAGAAGCTCCTGATTCCTTAGTTTTATACCATTTACTTTACATAACGTGGATCTTACTAGCTCTCTTTATAGGGGATTTTCTTTGCTTGAATTACTTTACTAATTTGTTCAGCATTAACCACTTTTCCTACATGATCGAGAAATTGTTCTTTTATAGACACATGATCATGTATTTATGCTAAACATATCTTCTCCAGTTATAGATTCATTAGGTAAAAAAAAAAAAGTTCAACTCTAATTGTCTTAGGGTGAGTTAAAAGGCTACTGCTTATGATTCCCACTATATCTACGGTAATGATTGTTAAAAGTCACTTTTAAATATTTGATGTTTAAAATGTGTGTTTCAAGACAACTTATTAGCATCTTCATTGTAAATATAAAATAAATTATTATGAGTATTTTTAGGACTGATATATTTACAACTTATTCTAAATGAGGAAAAGACATAAAAAAACAGAATCATGTACATTTTGGAATCTGTTATTGATTCCTTCCATAGATGTTTTAAAACTTAATCTCCCTGAACTTGTGTTGGGGAAAGGCTTAAATGAACAATTTTGTGATTCCAAGAATACTTGTATACTACCATTCCATGAGCTAAGATTACCTATAGAACTGAATAAAAACTTAAATGATAAACTTGCAAATTCTTGTGAGAAAGGCAATATGTCTTGAAAAGTAATGCATTAAATGAACATTGAGATATTGTTAAACATCCCTATTAACAAAACCAAAATATAAGAATAGTATTTTTTAGAAACAATAGGGGATTTCAAGTGCCTTCTCTATTCTAATTTGAAAATATCGCACAGTGTGACACCAAAGTAGAAGAGAATTTAGAAAATGATTCACACTGATATCTAGTGTAACTCAGGAGATATTTATTACAAAAGGTTATTTCTGAAAATTAACCATTGTTTTGCTTGGACTGAATCATCCTCTCTAAAGGTAAGTCTACTTGAAGGAAAATTTTTAGATGACTTTCAATGAAGAGGAGCAGTTTTCATGAAACATACCCACAAAATCAGGTCCAGGGATTGTCTTTGAGAAAATCTTCTGTTTGAAAATCTGTGATGAACATTGTAGATTCTTTGCTTTTACATTTATTAATTTTAACATGCATGTTTCTAGAGATTTGAGGTTAAGTTTTAATGAAACAAGTATGCTATTTCCCATATTTGCTATTTTTATTATTAGCATTATATCCGTTAGGATGCTTTTGGTAGGAAACCTCAGAATATTTCAAACCAAACTGGTTTAAATGGTAAGTTTTGTTGTTGTTGTTGTTGTTTTTAATTCTGAAGTATGTCTAGAGGTAGGGTGGGCTCCAAGATTGGAGGTTGCCTTTCAGCCTCCATCATCTCATGCAAAATGTGAAAAGTCTTTGCTTTTTAAGTTAGCCTCCCTCAGTATTGTAAGATGGATCCAGCAGATGGAAGAGTAATATTCACATCTGTATGTGTCTCCTTAGGAGCAATGACAATTTTCTAAAAGCTCTCTCAGCATTCTTCCTTCTATACTACATGGTCAAGCATTGGATCAGAAACTCAGTGATACACTAATCTCTAACAAGTGCAAGGGTTTACCACCATTTGGGTTGGAATAGATACTGTGGATTGAATCATAAAGACCTCCATACAGAGAATTTCTTATGATGAACAAAATGCTTTAGAAAGCTTAAGAACAACAGACGAGGGGCAGTGGCTCATGCCTGTAATCCCAGCACTTTGGGAGGCAGAGACAGGTGGATCACCTGAGGTCAGGAGTTCGAGACCAGCGTGGTCAATATGGTGAAACCCTGTCTCTACTAAAAATACAAAAGGTAGCTGGGCATGATGGCAGGTGCCTGTAGTCCCAGCTACTCAGGGAGGCTGAGGCAGGAGAATCACTTGAACGTGGGAAGTGGAGGTTGCAGTGAGCTGAGATTGTGCCACTGTACTCCAGCCTGGGTGACAGAGCAAGACTCCATTTCAAAAAAAAAGAAGAAAGAAAGAAAGAAAGGAAGAGAGAGAGAAAGAAAGAGAGAAAGGAAAGAAAAGAAAAGAAAAGACCTTCCAAGAAGAAAAACAAGAACAAGGGGTTTATTGTCACTGCAATCAAGATCCTGAGGACCAGAGGAGTCTGAGTATGAGCTGCCCTCTGTCTTAAGGAACAAGAAAACCAAGGGAGAATAGCAATAAGACAAAAAAGCGAAATAAGACCACATGGCTTGCTCTAAAAAGAAAGCTGGTGAAGAATCAGACTGGACCTAATCTTTAGAAAGCCTGTGGAAATACCTTCAAAAAATAGTAGACGAAAAATGGGTTACTCTGCTATGTATCTGCCTAGGATAGCCAAATCAGACAATCTACAAAACTTTCTCCACCAGGAGGTCTCCATTTTCTACCTTTGACATTCAGAATCAACTAATCATAATATGCTGCCTGAATTAATTAACAGACATATATCAATAAATATCAATACATATATTTAGGATCTATTGCACAATTGAACAAGTACATTTATATATTATATATATTATATTATTTTACTATGTTATATATTAATTTCAAATAGATATAAACACATATATATATTCATATACACAGGTATATTTGCATTCCACTATGTGGTGGTTAATTTTATGTGTCAACTTGACTGGGCCACAGGGTGCCTAGATAGTTGGTCAAACATTAATCCATGTATTTCCGTGAAAGTGTTTTGGATGAGATTAACATTTAAATGGAAAGACTGGGTGAGCAGATTGTCATTTCTAATGTGGTTAGGCCTCATTCAATCAGTTGAAAGCCTGAATAGAACCAAAAGGCTAACCCTCCCTCAAAGCAAGAGACATTTCCTCCTGCTCAACTGTATCAAACCAAAATATTAGCTCTTTCCAGTACTTCAGCTTGTCAGTCTTCAGACTGAAACTTACGTGAGTTCTCCTGGTTCTGAGGCCTTCAGACTCAGAGGAACTCTGAGTTCCTCAACTCTCCTGGTCTCCAGCTCTCCAGCTTGCTCACTCATACTGCAAATCTTGGGACTTCTCAGCATCCATAATAGCATGGAGATTATATATATATATATATATATGTATATATATGTATATGTATATATATGTATATGTATATATGCACATCTTATTGGATTCATTTCTCTGGAGAACTCTGATGAATGCATGCTATTAAGCATAAAATCTTAGGGGAGAATGCTCCTGGCTGGGGGAAGCAGTATTGACACTATAAATTGGAAGAAAAATGATGACATGGAAATGGTCAAATGTGTTTATCTTCTGTGAGAGACAAAAAGCTATTCCTTTCAGGATGTAGTCATCCAGATTTTTAGCATTCTCATTTGTAAGACTGTCTGTACAGGTGAATATTTTTGGAAGACAAATTACTAAAGGTCATTATACATGAAATGTTTTACTGATCATTTTACTTATAGTTCCCAGGAGTTACACATGTTAAAATATTAACTTTTATGACTTATATATTAAATGCATATTAACTTATTAAAGACAGAAAGACATTTTTAAAAATCTTTGTTTGGCATAGCAATTTTTTTCTCTACTTCATGAAAAATATGTAACATTCCTGTTAAAACTGTCGAAGTCTTCAATGGCTGACATTATTTAGCATTAACTACAGTTAAGTTCTTACTTATCAGTCTCTGGCTACCTAAAGGTTTTTTTTTTAATGTGATATGTCACATTCAGTAGTTTATTAAGTCAGGTTTCTACTGTTGGGCATTTTGTTGTTTGAAATACATTTATAATCCTTCCTTAGAAATAGAATTTATGGTTCAAAGAGTATACATATTTTTAAATATTTTTAATGTAAAACAACAAGTTGCCATTCCAGAACATGTAACACCTCCTAACACAGGCATTATAGAACAGGGTCTCTATGATCAAACCCAAGACAAGCTTCTTATTAACATTTTAAAACTCCAGTATAGGCCAGGCGCGGTGGCTCACGCCTGTAATCCCAGCACTTTGGGAGGCCGAGACGGGCGGATCACGAGGTCAGGAGATCAAGACCATCCTGGCTAACATGGTGAAACCCCGTCTCTACTAAAAATACAAAAAATTAGCCGGGCATGGTGGCGGGAACCTGTAGTCCCAGCTACTCGGGAGGCTGAGGCAGGAGAATGGCATGAACCTGGGAGGCAGAGGTTGCAGTGAGCTGAGATTGCGCCACTGCACTCCAGCCTGGGCGACAGAGTGAGACTCCGTCTCAAAAAAAAACAAACAAAAAAAACTCCAGTATAATCATACAATGCGTAAATGTGAATTGTTTAATTCATCTCATTGATAATGAAAAGTTTATATTTTACATTATTTATTTTACAAATAAGTCATTTTTCCTTATTTACATTTAGAGCTTTTTTATAATAAAATAAATGAGGTTATTGTATCACTTTAAAAGGTATGTGTCTCCCAACAATTTTATAGATAGCAACTGTAGATTTTTGTTGTTTGTTTAAATCTTCAACAATCATCTATCTCTCTACACATCATGAGGTAAGCATTTAACTTTTGCTTTTTTCAAATAATCTGGTAATCAATTAAAAAAATTGTTAATGTGGTGATATTTTACCAAGAATTGAACTGTTCTCTTTATCATGATAGAGTGCCCTTACCAGTTGTGTGACTCTGGGAAGGCTCTGAGACTTTTGGTTTCTGCAACCTCGTCTGTAAATGGGAATAATAATAGTAAATTCCTAACAGGGTGGGTAGGAGAGTTAGTTAATATATCTATGTAGAAAACTTAAAAAGAACCTGACATATAATTAACACTCAATAATTAACTCGGCTAGCTAAATATATTTATATATTATAAATATTAAATATTTATAATTGTCAGATCTGCTGGAATTATTGACTTTTCATTGGCCTATCTATAGTTATACCACAATGAAACATTCTTGTTTATGAAATGTTCCCTAAATCATAAAGTCAGGAAAATCACGTCATTCTTCAAATACTACCCATTGCTCTTCTATAGATTAAAATTAGTATCATGGTACTAAGTTTTCAATCAAAGAGTTAGGCAAATAAACTAACAAATAAGCATTCCATTGAGATTTTTTTTTAATTAAATTGCATTAAAGATCACCTTGGGAAGATTTGCCATGTTTTCAAATCTAAATCTTTTACTTAGGAACATTGAAGTTATATAATCTAAAGATAGCAATACCATTTGACCCAGCAATCCTGTTACTGGGTATATACACAGAGGAATATAAATCATTCTATTTTGAAGACACATGCATGTGTATGTTCATTGCAACGCTATTCACAATAGCAAAGTCACTAAGTCAACCTAAAAGCCCATCAATAATAGACTGGATAAAGAAAATGTGGCACATATACACTATAGAATACCATGCAGCCATAAAAAAGAATGAGATCACATCCTTTGCGGAGACATGAATGGAGCTGGAGGCCATTATCCTTAGCAAACTAACAGAGGAACACAAAATAAAATACCACATGCTCTCACAATTGGGAGCTAAATGATGAGAACACATGGACACACAGAGCGGAACGTATCCACTGGGGCCTTTTGGAGAGTGGAGGGTGGGAGGAAGGAGAGATTCAGGAAAAATAACTAATGGGTACGAGGCTTAATACCTGGGTGATAAATTAATCTGTACAGCAAACCACCATGACACATGTTTATCTATGTAAAAGGCCTGCACGTGTACCCCAGAAGTGAAAATAAACATTAAAAAATAAAATAAAATATAATGCAGTGGTTATTTGTCATTCTACAACTAACCTGTATTCTTATAATGACAGAGCAATTTAAAAGGTCAAAAATATTTACCCTATGTGAGATATAATAATAGGTCCATGTATGAAATATAATAATTGGTTCATCTGTCAATTGAAAAAAATATTTTAATATTTGGTAATTAATTTCTCCAAAGTATTATTAGTATGGGCATAGCAAGAAGACAATTGGTATATATAGAAGTTGTATCTCTGCTGAGTACCACCTAAAGTAGGCATTTAATTGAAACACAGGCTGGCACTTTACACATCATCCTTTGTTAATTGGTCTTTGGAGGCTGTTTGGAGGTTTCCAATTATCAATCCCCCAAATCCCACAACAATAACAACAATTTTAAAAAAAGAAGGTCACCTTCTCACCTTCTCTTTCTACTAATGAGTAGTGCCAAAAAGTGACAGAAGGAAGAGCAAATATCACTGTTTTATTATGTTTCTATCTGGTTTATCAGAGATCTGTTTAAAAAGCTGTAAATATGGACATGGTATAAACTTAGCCAAAGTAGGGTCTTTATTGTGATTGTTTGTGTTTGGAAAATGAAAATCAACACCAAGAAAGAGTTAGACATTACAGGCATGCATGCAAATATATGTATTTCTGACAGTACGTTTAGGATAAATGCAATATATTTAAAACCACATGTAAATGATTTTGAAATATAACAGCCATAAGTATTACATTTGACCATTCTTAATTTTCAGTATTTGTCACTGCAATGTATTAAATTATTTTTATTGTACATCTGTAAAGCCAGCACAGTAACATATTAAATCAGCTTGCAAAATGCATTTGGAAAATTCCATGGTAAGCTTAAAGAAGAATATTTAGCTTCAGATGTTTACATCAGAATTTTTACACCTCAAACTATGACTGGAAAAGACAAAAGTATATAATCATTATGTGGTAGACACAGATAGTAGCAGCTTCCTAAACACAGCTGTACACAGTGTCATTGTTAGAAACTTAATCCAAGATAAAAACTTTAAAAATTGAGAATGGTAAAAGTATAATGAGGCATTAGGCAACTTGAATTTCTCCTCTGTCTTCCAACATCTACTTTCATTTTGATGTCCTAGTTCATTTCCTCAGTGCTTCTAGATCTTGAAAGTGATGTGTACTTTAATAAATTGAATATGGGTAAAAATTAGTTACAACTAGAAATGTCATGCCATGTAAATAATTTTTATATAAGAAAAATGGTTAAACACTTATTATATGTTTATTTTACAGAAAGGCTTACCTATAATCAATAACATGTGATTTTTAAAATGATGGTAATATTCAAACAAAGAAAATGTCCAAATGAATTAATATTGTACTCATTTGGTATGTTTCCCCATTTATAAACAGTAAAAGACCAGGTGTAGTGGCTCACACCTGTAATCTGAGCAGTTTAGGAGGCCAACATGGGCAGATTGCTTCAGTTAAGGAATTCAAGAACAGCCTGGGCAACAAAGTGAGACCCTGTCTGTACAAAAAAAAAAAAAAACTACAAAAATTGGCTGGGTATGGTTCTGTGTGCCTGTAGTCCAAGTTACTCATCTGGGAGGTGGAGGTTGCAGTGCAGTGAGCCTAGATTGCGCTACTACCCTCCAACCTGGTAACAGAGTGAGACGCTGCCAAAAAAAAAAAAAAAAAGAGAAGAAAAGAAAAAAAAGTAGTAAATAATGAAACAATTAACTTATAGCTAAAGTTGCATTTGAGTTCTTGTTGCTTATGATTTCTTCAATAAAAGCATTAAAAATATGTGATTCTTAAGAATGATTTACGATTCCTAGTGTTTTAAACTTGGCCCTTGCAGCAAAATAGAATTAAAAATTTCTTATGAATCTGAGTATTTTATTTTTCAAAATGTATTCAGGAATAAATGGATAGATAGCTATAGGAATAGGGTGTGCTTGCACTTTTCAAATTCTTATATTCTGGTAATTCAAGAAATGCTATTTGTCTCCATCTAAATAAATTTGAGTAGAGAAGAATTGGTTCCCATAAAGAGCACACATTCACTATAATCACTGAAAGCAAAACTGATAAAATGCCAAAGTGAAGATGTTTGCCACTGAGATGGCTTTGGAAAAATAAAATGTTTAAAACTTTTTCAAGAGAATAAACTATTTGAAAGGTATATTTAAATAAAATATGTGTAAATTGAAACAAGACAAAAATAAGTATTTTTTAAATGGAACAGCTGAGCTGATAAGCATAAATTCTATTTTCTGTATACAACTGAATAAATTGACTTTTAGTGTCACACTGTTTTAAGTGAAATATAGGAGCTGGTGCTGAAACACTTTAATATTGGAAGTGGTTACATATAAAAGAACTTGATGGAATACACAAGACATAAATGAATAGACTGGATGTAGCAAAGTGCTCCCAAAATATAGATAATACTGGCAGCACAGAAAATGAAGACTCAAGTAAAATATTTGTGAGACATGAGTGAATAAGGAAAAAAAAAAGATAAAGATAAAAGCAGGGTCTCAAAACATTGACCTGCTCAGTATAGAATACTGTGTGAATGAGAATAAAGATGTATTTTGTTTTCTTCTGGGCCCTGTTTCCAGAAGCTTAATGAAAGACTTAGGCTATCTTTTATAATTCAAAGGAAGAAAAGCACACTTTTAAGATCTAAAGAAACCTCTGTGTATAGAGTACACCAAGGACTCAATTTCAAGTATCATATCCACAGAAATGAAATCTTAAGATAAATATTAGTAGAGACTGTAGCGATTGTAATGATGTGACGACATTTCCATATTAAGTTTATTATGGTAAATGCCACTCACCAAATCTCTTCTTTAGAAATGCTGTTTCATTACATTTTAGTGAGAACATAAACAAAAACAAGCTTTCTCAATGTTTTAGCGTAGGGGCTGTTTGACTTCAGTTCATCAGTTATTGACTGCCTTCATGCCAGGCTATTTTTGCTGGAGTCACAATACCTGTCCTTGAAACTCACTGGGCTGGGAGACAAAGAAGTATAGTACAAAAGGCCTATGATAGAGACATCATTGATGTGGGAAGGTGAGGAGAGGTGTCGACTTAGGTTTTAAACACAATGCTCTCAATGCTTTTAGGACAACTTCAAGGAGGGGCTAATTGTGCAATATTTGGCCCTGGTGGGCGTGTTGGAGCTGACAACTGACTGATGCATTGGCATATGAGTTGTAACGTGCAAGCAGAAGTTGAAAGTATGATCAGCAGCAACAGCATGAGCACAGCACAGAGGCCTGAGGGCCTGGCCCTGAAGCAAACAGGTTCAAAGAGAGACCTGTCTGAAGCGCAGGTGAGAAATGAGTCTGAAAGGGACATATGGTCCCAAGGTTAGAAAGCCTATTGTCTTGAACTACTTTGATTCATAGAATGCTTTACTAAGGTGGGGCAACATTTTATGTTTTGATGAAGTATAAAATAACATAATTGAAACACTGATGTTTCCTCAAATTCTCTTTAGTTTCAAGTGAATGATTTTCATGGACTTGCAGATTTAAATGCTACAAGAACGGGATCATAAAACCAAAGAAGAAATGTTATAGGTTTCCTACATAGAGACAAAATAACTTATATATTTCTAAAAGTAAAATCAAATTGGTATTACTAGCATGAGTAGAATACATGTAGTACCCCAGAGACTCCAAATAGGGAAGGCAATGGTATTCAAATATCTACTACGTATGTCACTATTTTTTCTATGAACACAGAGTGATTGCTTCATTCTGTGTTCAGAGAAGGCAAAATTGATTTCTGATAGAATTTGAAAATGGACAGTTAGAAGTGGTCCTGTTCCCCTTGCAGATGTTCAAAACTGCAGACTTCCCTCCTACAACCTGCATGCGTCCTACTGTAAATAGGCAGTACATTCTCATTATATTTGATACATTACGTTTTCGTATGTTAGCATTATTTTTGAGTTGCATAGACACACACAAAATCACTTAGGCACACATACAATTTTTCAATTCATATAGCTATCAACTTCTTCCACCTTCATTTACCACCTATTCCTTAACCGTTTAGTCTTGGACATATGGCTCTGGTAAGACATCATTCCTAATCTAGTGCACTCAATTTTCCTGTGCAGAAAAACACATATTATACTAAAGTTACATAGGAAAATCTTATAGTAGATATATTTGATTTATGTTGAGGAAGTAAAATGGAAGAGGCATGGATTTTTTTCTTTCCCTGGAGAGATTAGGAAAGTGAACAAAGAGAAAAGCTACTTATTCTGGAACATGAACAAAGAGAGCCACAGGAGATGACACTAAAAAGGAAAACTGGGTTCGCATGCTGTAGAGCCTTGAATATCATGTTGAGAAAATTGGGCTTATAACTATAGGTAAGGGCAAGCCATTTGCAGTCCATAAACCTTGGGTGTAACTTCATCTATTTTCTGTCACACAAAAGTAACTGGATTCAATAGGTAAGAACAACGGGCAAAGAATGCAATTAGAAAGCCATGGCAGTAGTCCAAGTAGGAGGAAATAATATTATCATTATGGTAATAGCAATGTGAATAAAACTAAAGGATTAAAAATATTACAAGGTGTGAGATATGGTACTGGGGATATCAAGAAGAGCCAAAACCCAGAGAGATATTCTGAGTCAAAACTGGAAAGCTCTGATGGACCAGTCGAATGTAGGGCAGTGAGAGAGATGGAATAATGGAAAACTACAGTGTTTAGTTTTGGGATACTGATGACACAGTTAAATGGAGAATTCAGTTTGGAAGTACATTGAGGAAGTAAAGTGAAGAAAATGAGTTAGGTTTTCAACAAAATAATAGTAAAATACCTGCAAGATACTAAGATGAAGCCATTTGACACCCGGATAGGTGGCTCTGTAGCTCAGAAGTCAGGTCCCAACTCAACATACACATTTGAGTCAATTAACATTGAGTTGGTATTTAATGTTAGGAAATCATAGTGAAAAAAAAAAAAGGTAGGGGATAGGAAGGTAGGGAGAGAAAAAATGAGAACAAGGTTTACAACCCTGGAATAAGAAGTAAGAATTTAAAATAAATCTTTACATTTCACAATGTTGGGAAAATGAATGACTTACTGAGGTACTGAGAACAGTTGTTAAGTAGATTTGGAATCACCTGAATAAAATGTATTGGAAAAGGAAAAGAAGTAAAGGGAGAGGAAAAATAAATGGTTTAATTTGCAGGAAAAGTAACGTTTGGGTAATACCTTAAAGAGGCGGCAAGATAGGAGGAAATGTAATTTATTTAAGATGGGACTTATCGCATATCTGAAAAAGCACAGTGGTCCCTTTTTGAGAATAATGGAATAACATAGAAATTATCAAAAATAGAATTATTAAACTGTGATATATATATATAATATACATATATATATATATATATAATATCTACAAAGTATATAATCTTATCTTTCCTTGAAGATAAATCTGAGTCCAGATCTTTTGGTCATGTGAACATACTGCTAAAAAGTCTTCTATTTCCATGATAATTTTTTATAGTAAGTTAATTATCATTATTTTCCCTAGATGTCACATAAAATTGTTGTGATATTATATAAAGTTAGCTGTTAGCGTCTGGAGTATTTCTCATCATTCTTAAAATAGACAACAGTAATAATATAGAACATTAATGTTTCTATATCCATTTAGGAGGTGTTTGTAAAAAGTTCCAGTTGATAATTCAAATGTAGCTGCCGCAAAACTGTTGCCACGTGTTCACTGATATTTCTGAAGTTATTTGGTTTGGGTATGTTGCCAGCTAGCAAAACACATCTAATAATCTTACTTCACTTCACAGCAATTTGTTGGTATTTTATTCTAAACATTTATGATAAGATGCTACCATACATATTTATCATGTGTGAGATAATAAAGTGTCATTATATGAATATAAACATTATATAACCACTGTTTGAAGACTAGTGCTACATAAACATCTATTTCGGCAGTATTCTCAGAGTATAGCCAGCAGATGCTATACTCTATTTTTTTTGAAGAGTGATCAGCTACAAGTCTAAACAAAGTGAGCTCACAGATGCCGTATAGTTTAATTGCTATCATTTCAGTGTGGAGATGTTCTAGAGAAAAGTAGCAAATCTCATACTAGCTATTAAAAACTAAATGTATTATATTACTCCAACATCTGCTATTTATTTTGCTTTTGCTTCATGGCAGGTACAATTAATATTGTTTTAGTCATAGATTTATAAAATTTTCCCCATGGGTAATCCCATTATGGAAAATGTTTGCACTTAAAAACCCACAGAGATTTTTTAAAACATTTTTAATATGGAAAAATTATAAGAAAAAAACCCTTAATGTACATGTATTATATTAATTAATACTAGAGTAACTTCAATAATTAGGCTTTCAAAGAAGCCGGAAAGTATGGAAGCTATACTAACAATGAGTTTCATGAAGCATGATACCTTTTCCTTCTGCTCTCATTTGTTGAATTTAGTGGAACTCTACACCAGAAACTTTCCACATGTTTTCATTTCTCAAACTATGTGCCTGCTCTTTGTGTTAGGTTCTGGGGATGCAGTGATGAAGAAAGCAGATAGGATACTTCTTTTTTTTTTTTTTTTTTTTTTTTTTTTCTTTTTTTTTTTTTTTGAGACGGAGTCTCGCTCTGTCGCCCAGTCTGGAGTGCAGTGGCGAGATCTCCTCTCACTGCAAGCTCCGCCTCCCGGGTTCACGCCATTCTCCTGCCTCAGCCTCCCTAGTAGCTGGGACTACAGGCGCCCGCCACTACGCCCGGCTAATTTTTTGTATTTTTTTACTAGAGACGGGGTTTCACCGTTTTTAGCCGGGATGGTCTCGATCTCCTGACCTCGTGATCCGCCCGCCTCGGCCTCCCAAAGTGCTGGGATTACAGGCGTGAGCCACCGCGCCCGGCAGGATACTTCTTTCTTGGAGCTCACATTCCTCTGAAGAAGACAGATAAGGCAAGTAATAAACAAACAGCTAAATGCATGAGGGTTTTGAACGGTGTTAAATGTCACAAGAAAATAAACAAAGAAGGGAATAGAGACGTAGGGAAGGCAGCTTCAATGCGAATGACCAAGAAATAGCTCTTTGAAGAGGTGAAACTTTGGCCAAGAGCAGACTGATGAGAAAGAGCGAGGCATGTTAAGACCTGGGGGTGCACATTTCAGCAGAATACACATAAATCATAAAGGCTGTAAGACATTAACAAGCTTGATAAACTCAAGAAACAGAAGTTTATTAAGCTTGCTATGAAACTGGAATATATTGAGTGAGGTAGAAGATGAGGTGGTGATGAACCCTGTCTCTATTAAAAATACAAAAAATTAGCCGGGCACGGTGGCGGGCGCCTGTAGTCCCAGCTACTCGGGAGGCTGAGGCAGGAGAATGGCGTGAACCCGGGAGGCAGAGCTTGCAGTGATCTGAGATCGCGCCATTGCACTTTAGCCTGGGAGACAGAGCGAGACTGTGTCAGAAGAAAAAAAAAAAAGGCAGATGACATAGGGCCTTGTGGGCCTTGGTGAGGAGTTTGGGTTTTATTCTCAATGCAAAACAAAGCCACTGAAGCATTCTCAGCCGTGAGGATCTAGTATGCTTTGAAAGAAAAATAAATATTTTTTGACTTTATGTGTTGTATAAATGGAAGGGGAAGAAGTATGGAAAGAATTTAAACTCTCAGTTGGAAGCATATTGCAGGGAATAGATTTCAAAAAGACAGAATGAAAAGAAGAAAAAATATTTGAGATATACAAACACACATACATATATATGTATATACATTTGCGGTTGGGCAGAAGATACACACTTCAGATTAATTCTCTTTTGGTCCTCTAAATTTTAACATTGAGAAACATTACTGTTTCCTTAGTTCTTAAAAATTTTCCATAACAATTTGCTTTGCTAACAAAAACCAAAGAAATAAAAATCCCTATTATCTAACTTCTGTTGCAATTATTATGCCTATTCCTTCATTTTTCCTCTTAATGAAAAGGGGAACAGCTGCTTACTATCATCCATATTCTTTTCATAAACTTGAAGTCTGTTATTAAGCAGTCCATAAGTTTGTGATGTCTAATTCACATGTCATCATCCAAATTGACTACTTGAAGTCAAAAGCACTGAAAGGGACTTAGTCA
This sequence comes from Homo sapiens, assembly GCF_000001405.40. Lineage (NCBI taxonomy): Eukaryota > Metazoa > Chordata > Mammalia > Primates > Hominidae > Homo > Homo sapiens. The sequence goes on from NC_000005.10 coordinate 22,754,098, forward strand.
TTTAAATGACCAAAATAACCTGGCAATTATCCATTATCAAACCTAAACAACGAACATCATATTATGAAAGAAATTGAATCAGTAAAAAATACCAGCAAGCAACTTGAATGCTTTTAAAAATTTGACTACAAAAGTCATTATGTTGTGCACCAGTTGACAAGAGACGACACTTTCGTGTTCTTGCCAAACAAAAACGAAAACAAAAAATTATAGGAGCCTGTTCTAAGTACTGGGGTAACAACCCTAGACACTGTCTTTGGCTTCACAGAGATAACAGGCCAGATGGGCATTGAGACAAGTGAACAGGCAGATGGAAAACAGCATGGTGAGTAATACAGATGGTGGGAAGAACAGGGTACTATGGCATCTGCTGTGGAAAGAAGATAGATCTAGGTGATGGTTAAGTCTAAGACAAAGGAGGAGTAAAATCATCAAGGAAAGCAGGAGAGAGGGAAGGAAGTGGAAAGCAGACAAAAAAAAAAAAAAAACAACAGCAGCTGTAGAAGCCTGAGAAGATGAGAGAGTCAAGTCCTTAGAGGGACTGAAAGCAGAGACATAACGGCACAAAACGAGATGGGAAAGTGACGGAGCAATACATGAGTCTGTAATGAGTGGTAAGATTTTAGATGTTGATTCTTATTTAATCCTTATGTGATTTTTTGAGATAATTCTGCCAGCAGCATGGAAAACAGCTTGGAAGGAAAAAGGCTAAAATCAAAGAAACGGGTTAGGTGTTTATAGGAGGAAGTTATACATCAATATGAATATTCAATTTTACTGTCTTATTGAGACTGTCTATTAGATGTGGGAAGAAGAATTGAACCCATGGGACTCCTCTCTGCAGTGTAAAAAAATTAAAATTTTATGCATTTCTCACAGTCTCTAACCCATATTTTTTTCTATGTCACTTACAAACAGTAATTGATGCCTTTGTTTTCAAATGAGATATTTCTGGAGTGATAAATCTGGATCTATGGATCTTACATAAGGTATCTCCTATCATTTGCTGATATTGTTGATACTATATATTCTTTAAATTGGTTTTATCTATTCCATTTTTTACTAGTTTTATTCATTACAAGTTTAATGTGTGACAAATCTGAAATCAAAGTATTCTAATATAATTTTCTAATATCACTTTTTCATAAAGATACTTATTCATCTCATTGTCACATTCACTACTTTTTATTCAAAATGTTATATAATTGTTAAACTGTATTTGTTGTTTTTATATCATGTTAGTTTCCTGTAACTGATGGGTCACATGAACTTGTCAGTGGTAAATTGTTCAGCTTTATGAGGCTAATACATGAAGATTATAAGAAAATCTAGGGTTCTTAGTCAATGTGTCACAGTTTGAGTTTGTATCCAAATAATAGTTTTTACAATATTTTAACTCATTTACTATCACGAGCAAAGTAATGCACATTTTTTGGTAAAAAGTTCTTGAAGGTAGGAAAGTGTATGAAGAAAAATAAAGCCAATATGTAAGAATTCATACAACACAATTGCTTTTGTTAGAAAAAAACGATTTACTTAAGGACAATGTTGACATCTTTCTTCTCTTGTGTTAAGCTGGTGACACTCTCAAGATTTATATTTTTAAACTTTACTTGCCCAAATATATACACAGAAAATTTGGCAATATTACATTTCTAAAGTTTTAAAACTTTTTATCTTTTCTTGGGTATATACTCATTCACATATAGGCTGCAAACAATAACAAGGAAGTTAACACTGTCTAACTATTTTAAAAGTATCTAAATCATTAGGGTACACTTTTGGATAAACAAGTTAGAACTGTGAAAAATGGGTACAATGTATCTACAGGGGAAATTTTACATACTTTGCTTTTATTATAATTTTATTTATTGACCTGGACTGTTCTACTAAACCATCCTTAAAACTCTTGATGCTGTAAATCTCCCCTGAAAAATTCCTTCTTTAGAAATGACAGATTTGAAAGTGCTTTGAAGTAATGGATCCTAACTTCAAGGACCGAAAAAAAAAAAAAAAAAAAAAGAAAGAAAGAAAAGAAATGGACTGCTTTGCTTTGCTGTGTTCTGCTCAGTCTATAACAGTATACTCACACATATTAGGTGGTCTATCTATGTTTGTTGAACAAATAAACAAATAATGAGTTACAAAATACTGATTAAAACACTAGTATAGCGGTTGTAACAAATCCATCGTACACTATATTTGTAACATTCAAAGATACATAAGTTCCCTTTAGAAACCTTTATTTAGTTAGGAATGACACACTTCAGTCAGTTTTAAAACATAAAAAATATTTCATATAAACTTAATGGTTAATTCTCTATTCCATCCTAATTTATTCCTATTATTTATCTCATATTTATTCATGAATTATTATTTTAACATTTGTGAAGAATATTAAAAAGAGAATATTTCAAAAGACTTATTTTGTTATCCAAATCACAATTTACCCTCATTATCAAATTTCTAACTCTAAAAAGGATTCTTCATAAAATGTGAAAGCCCAAGAAATATAAAGCAAACTCTACTACAAAGCAAAGACTATCGCTAAGTCTTTCAACTTTACAAATTTAATTGTTACTGGCCGGACGCGGTGGCTCACACCTGTAATCCCAGCACTTTGGGAGCCTGAGGCAGGTGGATCACGAGGTCAGGAGTTCAAGACCAGCCTGGCCAAGATGGTGAAACCCCGTCTCTACTAAAAATACAAAACTTAGCCAGGCGTGGTGGCAGATGCCTGTAATCCCAACTACTCAGGAGGCTGAGACAGAGAATTGCTTGAACCCGGGAGGCGGAGGTTGCAGAAAGCCAAGATCACACTACTGCACTCCAGTCTAGGCAACAGAGAAAGACTCCGTCTCAAAAAAAAAAAAAAATTAATTGTTACTTTGTACATTGCATTCCTTATTCATGCTAGCTGTTTTCTAATATCTACCCTCTACTTCCTCAATAGGGATTTAGGTGGGCAGCAGCACTTGGTTATTTACAAGTTCAGGATCCTGTTTATAAAGCAAGGTAGTGTGCCTTCTTCTTTTCCTTGTTTAATATTCTCCATGTAACTTTTCTTCTTCCTGTAGATGTAGATAAAAGCTATCTCTTGAAGATGGTAGAGCACATACCACCCCTGGAATGGTAACCTCTGAACTGTTACACCAAAGATCTTATTTATGGTGTTTAAATGTTTGCGTTGGTCACATGAAACATAATATTTACCTTGCTTAAACATTTAGGGTTTCACTGTTACAGAGTCAGAATTGACTCCAACTAATACATTTCCTTGATTAAGTAAAACTTAGTCTGAGGTGTCTAGGATTATTGTTTTCATTAAAGTAACAATATTTCATTTTGATATAAACTAGTAATGGTTAGTTATATATAGTATAAAATGGTATATGGGATTATCAGCTCATTTTATTATTAGTTATTTGCCCATGCTCAGGTAAAAGTTCTATTATTCAGATGTTTTCATTAAAAGAAAAAAAGATTGTTAACATACATGGATACTTAACAATACTTCTGTTATCAGCATTTTTAATCCTTCATGTGTCTCCAAAGCATACAATGTAAAACAATTCAATTTTAAAATGTATAATTCATTTGCAAGTTTTCTGATAATCCTTAGTGACCTTGGATTGTCAGCTTTGTCCTCCTCTCAATAACAACTTGTATAAGTTAGAAGAAAGAATTGGTCCCAAAAGAAATCCCCTAAATGAAATAAATTTTAAAATCCTTTCATGCATTACACTGCCAATCACTGTGGATAATCCCATTCAAGCTACATAATTAGTATTCTAAGGTATGGATTCCCACCTGTACCATGTAGTACAACATCATGAAGTGGGGAGGGGTATAGAAAGGAGAGGCTCCCAGCAGACTTTTATGTGATAGAATGTGGGAATCAATTTTAATTAATTCTGCCTCTTTAAATCTGTCTGCTCTTTAGGAAAGATTGCTATCTGTCTCCAGCACTATGGCGAGATAATTAATAGGAGCACTGCTGGAGACTGATAGTGCAGGCGGCCGATACCCATGGCAGGAGCTCTCGTCATCTAACTGCCACAGAATTGTGAAGGTAAAGAATCTGCAGAAAAGTGGAACATTCATTTTTACTAAATAAATGCATTATCTATAGCACACATTATAGAGTTTTGTTGTTGTTGTTGTTAATCTAACATGTAACAGAAATAAAAGAGATTGTTTCTAAACCACTTTAAACTGTTCTGGCAACTACCTTAGACCCTTCTGGCGAAGCATCTCTAAAGAAGACCATTGACAGCCACTATCAGTAGCAGCAGCAGTGGGCATGTGTCCTCGCTTGCCACCCCACAAAAAAGCAAACAAACAAAAATCATTCCCAGATGAAAACTACGAAGTTGTAAACTATAAAAGGGAAGATTAAACATTGTCTGTGTGTTCTCTAACATCCATTTGATTTATAGTTTTTTTTTTTTTCCTTTTTTGACAGAAGTTGGTCTTATCCCATTTTCTCAGCATAAAAATAACAATTCTCTTATAAGGCAGTTTTACGCAGCATTAACAGAGCAAAGAGTAAACTTTGTTTGCTTTAATAATACTAAATTGTAACATCATATTTTCTATTTGCAAATGTTTGTCCATCTACTGGATGTATAAATCTTCGTAGTGACAAAAGTATGTTTGATTTATTTATAATGGTCAATGGAAGGGCTATGAAATTGTGTATTAAGCTACTATGAGAAAAGCGGCATGGCTCAAATAATCATCTTTATATTCAGCATGCTTCAGGCAATCACTAATTTTTGAGAAATCTATTGTTCTCTAGTTTTTCCCAAGTACTCATTTCCAACCTCATTCCATCAGGTATTCTCTGAGGAGTCTTATCCCTATGACTTGCTCAAAGCAGATATTGTCTATTTTTTTTGTCTATTAAGAAAATAACAAAATTTTAAAACCAAATAAGATCTTGGCTAAGATACCATATGAAAGGTGAATACACACAGACCCAAACAAGTCCAAAAGATTGCCTGTCATAAAGTTAAAACTGGAATCAGAACTGGCAACCTGGACTTCTGACTTGTGATTCAGGATATATTTCACCATCTAGACTGCTACGCAGTCTCAGAAAAAAAAAACAAAAAAAAACTTAGATTGATTTCAAAGAGGCCACCACACATGTATTCTTTCTTCCAAAGCCTTGTTTTATTCTTACCTTATTCTTCAACCTCTAGTATACACATATACAGCTCATAATTGAAATGATGTATTTTCCTGTCCTTATGCTAAACAATTTTAGGAGGTTTTTTTCCTGTTTTGGGGTTAAAAAGTACTAAAATTAGGCAAGATCATTTAGCTGCTTTCTTTAGGAAATACTTGCTTCTTGAAGACCTCGAAGCAACTGAATAGATCTCTCATCAGGACTTACAGCTTACTCTTCAGTACTTGCCTGAATACCATCTCCTCTCTAGCCCCTCAATCCACAGTTATTATACCATTAACTACCTAATCTGAACTGGCTCCTTGAATTGCATGGCTCGAGTTAAAACTTCTCGCATTTATTATGAAATAATTTTTAAATGAAACCCTATAAATATCGGTCTATTTTTTCTCCCTTCTGATTAAGACTGTCATGATGGTGTTATCCCACTATTAGAGTTCTCCAGATAAATAGAAACAATAGGATGTGAATTTATATATACAGAGACATTTATTTTAAGAAGTTGGCTCATGCAGTTGTGGATGCTGGATAGTCCGAAATCTGCAGGGTAGGTGGGCAAGCTGGGAACTCAGAGAAGAACTGATGTTGTGCTTCAAGTTCAAGGCTGTCTACTGGTAGAATTCCCCTTATCTAGAGGGAGGTCACTCTTTTTCTTAAGGTCTTCAACTGATTGGATGAGGTCCACCCACCTTGTGGATGGTAATCTGCTTCATTCAAAGTATTCAATGTTAATCTCATCTGAAAATACCTTCACAGCAATATCCGGATGTGTTTGATTAAATATCTGGGATGTGGTCTAGCCAAACTGACACATGAAATTAACCATTGCATCCTTTGTAGCAATGAATAAAATAAATTCCATTTTACTGGAACAACAATTTTTCTGGTGGCCTTTCTGAGAAGTTGACAGCTGACATGTTTCTAAGCATTAGGTCTATATAAAACTGATAAAGACAATACAGTTTGTTGGTTAACTATAGAATCTAAATAGGTGATAAGATTCATGAGAAAAGTTTCTTCTGTTTTGTGAATTGTAATATTCTCAGTGCCTAAAACAATTCCTAACAAATAGCAGGTACCAGTAGGTATTTGAAAAAAGCGTAAATGGGCCGGGCGCGGTGGCTCCCGCCTGTAATCCCATCACTTTGGGAGGCCGAGGCGGGTGGATCAAAAGGTCAGGAGTTCGAGACCAGCCTGGCCAACATGATGAAACACCATTGTTACTAAAAATACAAAAATTAGCTGGGCATGGTGGTGGCTGCCTGTAATCCCAGCTACTTGGGAGGCTGAGGCAGGAGAATTGTTTGAACCCGGGAGGCAAATGTTGCAGTGAGCTGAGATCATGTCATTGCACTCCAGCCTGGGTGACAGGATAAGACTCCGTCTCAAAAAAAAAAAAAAAAAAAAAACAAAAAAAAAAAGGTAAATTAAAAAATCAATACGTCAAACATTCTGATGTATTCTTTGTAGAGAAGAAGATTATATTTTCAAAATGATATCTTAAACAGTGTAGTGTGCAATTGAGTAACTGAAATTGAATGTGTACCAGATATACAACTGTGGTATGATCCTATACGTCTGCAACACAAATATCCAGATCCACAACATGCACAAAAAAACCCCACTTTTTTTATTGACAATTATTTTGTTCCTTATGGGAAATTAAATTTTAAAATACTCTCCATCACTCATGCAAATATCAGTTGTTTGAGCAATATGTTTTGCATTCTTATATCATTTTACAAACAGAGCTCATACATGATGTTATCCCTCAGTCATAACTGTTTTTTTGTCATAGTTTAAAATATTTCCTCTCACTTCTTAATGAATGACACTTCAAAGATGCCTGACTTGTCACTTGTATTTATTCACGTCTTTATCTTGAAAAGCTCCAGTGGACAAACCTGAGCATAAAATTGCCACCCAGCTTTTCATGAAGACTGAAGAAGTATTCTGTTTCATGATTTATATCCTGGGTTTTATACTAGGAGCAGGTTATATTAAAAATTATCTCAGATGGGTCAATTTCTTTTAAATCTTTATGAAAGCATCTTGAAAGCAACTCATTCTTATTTCGGCTAAGAACGGAAAATGCCTGGAGAAGGGAAACCCTTACAAAGTTATGTGAAGGGCATGCATGCCACGGTGTGCCCCCCAGGAGTTTTCATAATCACAAGTAAATGGTTATCCACAATATTAAGTGCTACAGGCCCAAGATATAAATATAAGCAGTAACGTCTGCTCTTTAACTTATATATGCCAAATCTCCTATGAAGTTACCAATCAGAACAGGTTTTACTATTTACACCTAGGTAGAGGTGCAAACTAATAAATATTTTACTGTTTGATTCAAGAAATTTCTGGAAACCAATTTATTCCCAAGTGCTTGCTCATCTGGAAAAGCAATTTTTCTGTCAGTTTAATTGACACCTTAAATGGTGATTTAAAATATTTGCAAATTATTTCTATTGTTAAATTTATGATTAATCTTTAAGAAAATGTATAATAAATCACAAAAGAAGAAAGTAGATTTTGTGCATAAAACCGTTAAAATACAAACAAAACCTTGTGTCAGACTTAGCATGTGTTACTGATATGTACTTTAATCTTCTACAAAATTTCAGTTTGTAATTTCTCAAACACACACACACACACACACACACAATCACACACATAACCTAGTGTTATAAAGGTGCCAATGGTATAAAGAAAGATTATGAACTTCAAAGTCATAGTTTCCCAGAGAGAAAAAAATTGTATATTCAGAGATGTAAATTGATTCAGGTAAAATACCTAGTTAGTAGTTAAACTGGCAATCAAAGTCTAAAACCTAACCTATACATCACCCAGTTACGAAATGTATGTAATGTGTATATGTACAAACTCACATGCATCTATGTGTATATTTGACCTAAATTATTCCAATATATATACATAAAGAAAATCAATAATTTTTAAATGCATGAGTCCCATGGAGAAGAAGTAATAATAATTATAGGAGTAATCTCTTACCCATAGATCTGTCCCTTGGTGTTACAAAATAAAAAATCTAATTTTATCTTACACATTTGTTAGTTGTTAGATTTAATTCTCAGTCATTCTTAAAAAAGTATTAAAATATTGTGATTTGAGTTTTATTGTATTTTATTTGCTAGAATAGCATTATTTATTAAAATAACACAGGCAAGTAATTCATTTTGTGTTAATGATTCTTATTTCTTGAATGGGGCAGAAAGTTATGTCATCAGCTTTTTTTGGAAGACAGTCATTTATAACCTTGAAAACTGTGATCAGACCAATTGAATCCACATAGCTAAAGGATTGGGACTGAGAACTAAGATCGTTGGGTCAAATTGACTTAATCATTTGTTTCAGAACATTCTTTTCTGGGAAGATAAGAGTATAAACTAATAATTTACTGTTTGCGTCAGGAAATTCCTATAAATACATTCATCTTGATAAAGAGTTAATTTTTCTGAGCAAACATGTCTTGTATTAGGACCATGGTTATCTTATCTGAGCAAACAATTTGCTTTTCAAATAACAGTTTAGTTATCACAACTTGCTTCAAGATCTTTTCTGCACACAAATTCTAAACTGCGATGTCATGAACTTTACATACTTCCAAGGAGTTCCCTGCTTGTACATGTCCTCTTTAAGTCACTTGAGCCCAGAATCCTGAACACTGAAAATTAAAAAAAAAATACATCTATTCTTACATTTATACTTCGAATAAGAATTTTTCATGTTGATGTTCTGCCTTGATGCCATATGCCTAATAAACTTAGCTTTACTTTTTTGAAGAGGTGTTGTTTTGGAGAGTTAAAATTTGACAGTCTACTGACTTTTCATAACGGAACATCATGGTAATTTAAGTGTGTCTCAAAAAGGAATAAAAGTCTGAGAACCACATCTCTAGATTTTACCTTTCTTTATCTACAAAATAATAAAAATCTGTCTTACATTTTATTTAACATAGTGGGACAGTATATTATTATGTGATACAGTTTTCCTTGTTCAGATAACAAAATTGATCAGAAACTATCATTATCACAATATAAAAGAAAGCACTGTTTACCCCCTTTCATGTGTGAAGTAATGTGAAAGAAAATGATTATCATGTACATAATTTAATTAACATAACTGAGTATTTTTTAAACAAATGAAGGTCAACTCTGTTAACAGTATTAGATGTCTGAAAGCAAATTCCTACAAACACATGAAAAAAGTAGCAATGGTCTTTGCACATGAGGTTCACGAACTATTCTAAGTATTTGAGCCTCTGACAATTTGTTCAGTTAATCCATTCTCTTCTATATAGTGACTTGTTTAGCCTTTTGGTTTCTAACCTATAAAAGTAAGAGTAGAAAACCTTAAAGATGGACTCATGGGCTCTTTTTCCCATCATGCGAAAATGTTCACTTGCTACAGTGTTTCCAAGTTTAAATAAAGTTTGATCATCTTCATTCTAAGCACTGAGTGATCATTTCATTTCTAAATTTAACTGCATTTATTCACCAAATGAAATGCAGTAAATTTTACTTATACAATCTAATATATAAAAAGAAAAAATGGTGTTTGTGAATGAATAATAATTAAGATATAGAACTTCAATCAGTTCCCCTATGCAGTAATTGGCTAAAGTATAAAATATTTTATATCAGTTTCCTTGAGGCTCTCTTTGGCTTACAAAATTGTGGAATACATTTTTATACTTTATATGTAAGAGTTTTACAAAGTTATGATACAAAACCAGTGAAAGTTTAGTGTGTAAATACACGTGCTTTTTACATTTGTTTTTAAAATAATTTTATCTAATTAGAAGACTGAAAGAGTAACACATACAAAAAATAATATACTCTTTATACAGATTCTTTAATTGTTTTGATTTTACCTCAGGTTTTTGCACTTATTCAATACCCAATGCATTTTATACTGAACTATTTAAGAGGATATTTGAGATATTTTATGCCTGTATTTCTAATGTTTTAGTTATATTTCTCACATAAAACCATTCTACCATTATTGAAAAGAAAAGCTTTTGTCATCAATATATTATTATAGCCAATCTGTAGTTAAATTCAATTGTTGTCTTTTCCATATATATTTCCTTCTTCAGAATGCTGATATAAATTCATACTTGATTAATTGAATAAAGAAACAAATAACTAAATAAATACAAAAGTTCTTCCCTACCATAGAATCATAAATATGCACAATGAAATTAGAGGGCAAATATATAATGAAGAACATGGTATTATAAAATCTCAAACAATTTCCACGTAGATTGCTTATTAATTAAAAAGGGGAATATCATCTCTATAGTGAAAATGTTAAAGATTACATTAATAAACAATCAAAGTGAACATCATCATTCAAGTGACAAACTGCCACCACATTTCTGCAGATATGATGCCTCAAAAGGAGAACAACATCACTTCCGCGGCATTCCTGCGCAAAATGACTAACCTGAATCTAGTCATGAGAAACTGAGAATCTCAAATTGTCAGACAATCTAGAAAATAATTTGCCTGTACTCTTCAAAAATATCAAGATCATGAAAGACAAAGAAAGTCGGAGAAATTGTTTCAGATTAAGATACATTAAAGAGATAAGACGACGGAATGCATTGAGTCCCAGAAGGAGGGATTAGCATATACTGTGTTTGCATATCATAAAAACTGACACTGAGGTAATTCTGCTTGTCTTTTTCTCAAGTCAAAAGAAAGAACCATTAATAAATACATTACAAATACATTAGAATATCCATGTCAATCAAAACTTGAATGAAAGAATAACTAATTTATTATTTATTCCTGTGATTAAACAATGTGCACGTTTCAAAATATGGTATTAAAGGAACATGTCTCTACTTACCTCATCACAAGGTCTTAGACAGCTTCATGTTCATCATTATTAAAGGAAGCCCACACAAAAACTGCACACCCCTAGAAACTGAAGCAGCTGAATTACACTAACAATAAACCAAGGGGTGAATAAAAGTGTCTACTAAATACAAAATTTAAGTATAATTCTCAATGGGTATGATGGTTGTAGCAGATAATGATATGTCTAGTCTACTGTAATCATTACTTATGTAAGAAATTCTTTATTGTTATTGGAGAGAGTCAATCACCTGGTTGAATATAAAAATATCTCTCTTTTGGCCTGTACAATCCACAGATTTATAGAAGATTTGGAAGACCTGGAGTCCCATACTCTTACTAGTATCTTCCAGTATAGATTATTTTTAATAAAGTATAGAAGAATTTTCAGATTGATTTTTTAACAATGTTTAAATCAAGTGGTGCATACACTTGGATGTGAACACATCACATATCATGATTTTAATGTTTAAAAGCGTTTTTGTGATATTCCATCGGTAACAGATTTTTTTTCATCTGTTTTGCTATTGCATGCCTCTCAAACTTCTGGGTAATAAGAAATGTAGAAAAGTAAATTTACAAAATTTAGAAGCAAATATCATGTATTTGCTTTTATGTTCTCAGAGTATATAGAGTTCCTTAAAGAAGATACACAGATCACAAAACATTAAGTAATACTCAGAAAGTCAACTGCATTAAACATTAAAATAAAAAAGTATTTAATATAATATGTAAAAAAATACGTACAAATCTAAAATGAAATGGTTAATGAAGTTGAAAAATGTGGACAAAGAATATAGGAAGGTAATTTTAAAAGAAACTAAAATGGTCAATAAACTTCTGAAAAAGTGCTAAATCTCATTGGAATTAAGAAATTGAAAATGAAAATCATGAGGATACAATTTAACATCTACCATAATGGCAAAATAATCATCTGATTTTCAACTATTAGAAAGTATGGAGAGCAATTAAAAACTCAAACAATAATTGTGAGAATGTAAATTGGAATAAACAATTTAGAAAATAATTTCAATATGCATTTACTTAAAATTTGCATACCACTCACAGAAAATTCTACTTACAGATATCTTAGAAAAATATTTGCACAGGTGCACAAAGACATGCATAAGAACTTTTCTCATAGCTTCATTTAGAGTTAGAAAAAAATTAAATTAACAATAGAATGGATAAATAAGTACCTCAATATAAACAATGGAACTGTGCAGCAGTGAAAACGCATGAAACCAAGCTGCATTTATCAATAAGGGTAAATTATTAGATTATATTGAATGACAATGTCAGATGGCAGAAAGATACACAGATGATAACTCCCATTTGAAAATTTCATTGTATTTAAAACAGTACTTTAGAAGTACATTCCAGTGGAGAAGAGAAAAAGAGACCCTGGAACAGACCCTTAAGAGACTTCAGCTTAATATGTCCAGTTGGCCCTTCCAACTCCTGTGGGTTCCACATCTGTGCATTCAACCAACAGCAACTCAACAAGACTTGGAAAAAAGATTGCATTTGTACCGAACATGCAGAAACTTGTTTTCTTGTCATTGTTCCCTAAACATTATAGTACCAATTATTTACATTGCATTTACCTTGTATTAGATATTATACATAATTTAGAGATGAGTTAAAGTGTATGGGAGGATGTGCATAGGTTATATGCAAATATTACACAATTTTATCTAAGGAACTTGAACATCTGCAGATTTTCGTATTGGCAGGAGATCTTGGAACCAATTACTCAATGGATACAGAGGAGTGACAACATTATTTTATACCTTATGGCAGGTGGTAGGTACACAGTAATCAATTTTTTGTGATTTTTTACATGTATAAGAAATTTCAGAACACACTTATATACTTTTACACTCATTGCATGTATTTGACTATGATTAGAATGTTGGCAAAATAGATTATACTGAATCTAATGTTTGTGGATTTAAAAATCCACCTTGTCTAGGATTGATTTTATATTTAACATAATTTATGTAAAATCATGATATCTTTTGAATACTAAACAATCTCATGGTAAAAAAGGCAAAATGAAAACCCAGTTTTCTTTAGATCTATAAATGTTTATAAGACTGAAATTAGCTTGGACTTTGAATGTTCTTTAATTGGATATAAACATTATATTATTAATCAATAGTCATTTCAGATTGACTATTTTCCTTTTGCACTTCAACACAGAAACATTATTTTATGATATGATAGTGCTTACTGTTCTGTTTGCATTTTCAATTGAACTTGGAAAATAAACTAAAACATGATGCAACTATTGAGTCCACTGAGTGGTAAAATGAATTAAACAAAACTCAACCCAGTCATAACAGGGCTTTTTTTTTCTGAAAAGAAAGGATGAACATTTTATAATATAATAATTACCTGAATCAACAGGGCTTATGGTAGCTTTGGAATATTTATTTATGGATTTTTAATGTAGCTATGCTGCTTATTTCTAGAAGCTATGAAGCAAAATTAATAGCCCTAATTATACCCAGCCACCTGCAGTGAGTAGTATTAAACAAAATTATACCTACGAGTTCTTTCAAAATATATTGTTTAAAAGCAGGGCAATGATAATCAACTATAGTTAAACAAAATATTATTTTTGTCTTATATCAAAGCTTTATATAAAAATAATAAATTATACCTGGGGGCTTTAGAATTTCCTCATTTTTAAAGGCAGCATTTCATTTTGATCTCACATTTTCAATGCAGAACATAAGCATTTAAACTATGGTCTATGATTAAAGAGAAGAAAGTATTTTTTATATGCTGATCATATACAACTCAATGTGATTATGAAGTCTACAGTTATAAATTCAGTGAAAAAAAGACAAGGAAAATTTGATCATGGTTTTTGGAATTATTATCTAAGTATACTTACTACTTCTAGAATATAGTACAGAAAGATGGTACTCAAATCAATTCCTACTCACTACAGCTACTTAATCTCAGGTGTGTTTCCCATAAACTACAGAATTCATAACATCTATTTTCTTCTATAATTTTCAGTCAAAATCACATTAGGGAAGGAAAAAATCTTCAATTTGATTTTTATGAAAACTGTAGTTAGATAACTCTATCCCATGGAAACTAAATATGTGTTATAATGTATTCCAAAATAAATATAACTGACTTTGCATTGAAAAACCCCATTCAAAACCATTCAGTTATGGAGAGTTTATTATATTCCAGGAACTGAGCCAAGACACAGGGACACAATTTTGAAAGAATTGAAAACAGCCTTAACACATCTATGATCTAGATGGGTTTAAGGTGTAGAATGTGATTTTTTTCATACATTAGTGATTTTTATTAGCACAGTTGTAGAGTAAGTAAAGTTTTGTTTTATGAAAAATTAAAGGTAATTGGAACTCAAAACACCAATGTTTCATTAATGTGAAACAAAGAGAAGATATATATTCAGTTCTTTACTCTATCATCATCTATAAAGAGAAGGGAAGTATTAAAAAAATGAATAAGATTTGGACCCATGGTAACTACCTGGTCTCTGCCACTGATTTCCTATTTGGTCATCAAAAACCACTTATATTCTTTGCACCTCATTTTAAAAAATTATCTAGGTATAAACTAAAGAAGATAAACTAAATAATCTGACATCCTATAATTGTGGGAAATTTAAATCCCAGTATAAAATTAAACAAGTATTTCAAGTTAACACAGCTAATTAGATGTTCCTCTTCTAATATCATTATTTTATAGCAATATTTTAAAATTACAATATTTGAATAACTCGCTAAAGAATTATATCCTCTCTTCGCTTAGGTTGTTCTGACATTAGCCTTCAGTATGATCTCCTGCAGAAAACAAGCAAGCAAGCATACAACATGCACAACTTAAAGCTTTTTCTTAAAAAGAAGTTTCCCCCAGTGATGGTTACTAAGAGGTGTCAACTTGATTGAATTGAGGGATGCCTAGATTGCTGCTAAAAGATTGTTTCTGGGTATTTCTGTGATGGTGTTGCCAGAAGAAATTAACATTTGAGTCAGTGGACTGGGAGAGAAAGACCCACCCTTAATGTGGGTGGGCACCATCCAATCAGCTGCCAGCGCGGCTAGAACAAAGCAGGTAGAAGAAGATGGGATCAGCTGGCTTGCTGAGTCTTGTGGTTTTTATCTTTCTCCGTCCTGTGCTGGATGCTTCCTGCCCTTGGACATCAGACCCCAGGTTCTTTGGCCTTTGGGCTCTTGGATTTACACCAGTGGTTTGCCCAGGGCTCTCTGGCCTTCTGCCACAGGCTGAAGGCTGCACTGTTGGCTTCCCTACTTTTGAGGCTTTTGGACCCAGACTGAGCCACTACTGGCTTTCTACCTCCTCAGCTTGGAGATAGCCTATCGTGGGACTTCGCCCTGTGATTGTGTGAGTCAGTTCTCCTTAATAAACTCCCCTTCATATATACATCTATCCTATTAGTTCTGTCTCTCTGGAAACCCCTAATACACCCCCATCCTCCTATTAGTTCTATATTATCAGCAAACTTCTTACACCCATCCCTGCAAATGAAGAGACTTGGGGATGGATATAATGGGGGAGTGGGGTGGGTAACCAAAACAATACAAATAGTATTTTCTTATGATATTCTATGGAAATCTAAGTTAGGATTTTTGATAATTTGGAGTATAGAAGGAGCACCCAGTAATCTGTACACTTACTGGCTCATTTAATTAGGCTTATATATAATCCAAACTCAAAGCCAGTGTTTCTGAAAATGTTTCCTTAAATAGACAAGATACACGCACGGACACACATATGTACACACAAACAATGCAAGTTTTTACAATATGGTTCATATAAAATAAGCTGCACTTACTGGGTTGCGCTGACTTTTTTTTTTCATTTTTTCTATCAGGTAATTCACAAAGTAACTCACCGAGAGATATTCACATGTCCCCAGGCGTGAACTTTTAAAGCATCCCATTCTTACACCTGTGTATTGTCCAAAAACTAATTCCAAAAGAGACTTTTTCTTCAACTGATAAACAGGATTTGGAGAAAGAAATCTGAAACCTCTACACTAATAAGCATATACTCATTAGGTCTACAGTAGGACAACAGATTAAAGAAAAGCAAACAGGATTGGCATACAGGGGAAGAAAACATATACGAATTCTCTGACTCCTCTTTTTATCAATGTTTTTCTTTGATTCTGTCAGCAACTCCTGTACATTGCCCATAATTGAGAATCTATATATTTATTTTAGGCTTCAGTTGGCAAGAATTGAGTTTTTTGGTCCATTACAACCATAAAAATTCAAATAAAGTAGACCAATATATCCATATAGCATACAATGTTGATCAGCCTGCTAATGCTGACATATCATTAGATTAAATACAAATATTAAAGCTAATTTATTTGCTTCCTTTGGCTACATGGTATCATTTAAAGAAAAGAAATGACTTCCAAAACATATACCTATGAGGTGCAATTAATAATATGGTAGCAGCTAGTTAACAAGTTTAGAATGTATTTTCCATTGTATTTTGTAGTGTTATTATCCCATTTAACTATATGATCCTAGTTTGTTAATATTACATTTTTTAGATAATTGGTGAGTAATATTTGTGTTTCTTATAAACATTTATTGTGCATCCACTATAGGTCACATGCTTTACTCACATTTTAGCATTAAATATTTCCTATAATCCTAAAGCACAATAGTGATAAAGTGAAAATGTCTCTGTTGGTAGCGATTCTGTAAGGGAAATATTTGAAATTTGTTTGCACTATAGTTGCAAAATGCATACACTGTACCACGCTAAGTTATAATGTTTATCAAAAATTATCTAAGTTCAAACTCAACATAGTAAATGATAATACAATTTAATTCAGACTCATACATTCTAAGATAAGAGACAACAACCTAAAAGTAATACAGATGAACGAATTTTATTTAATGATAAGACTACTGACTGTTCCAAAAAGTCCATGGTTTATTTTGTCAAATCCTTGAGAAGATAGTTCTATGACTCATTCTCTGTCCCCAAGAGTATAAATATCTTACACTAACAACTCCTCTTTTTTGAGAAACCAAATGTTTCCTAGGTTTTTAGTCTCCCTTATTGCAGCAAGTAATAAAACCAATTTGCTGAATGTATTCTTAGTGGTCTTTGGCTGATGCACATGAACAATTATTAGCATACAAATTTTATAGAAGAAGGATATAAAACCTGAAAGAAGAGAAGGTTCTTAACAAAAGCCCATTGTATCAGATCTTAAAGAAACAGTTGAAATAATCTAGTCCACACTTTGATTTTACAGATGAGAAAACTGATAAAGGATGGGGATAAACATCATGATCAATGTACAATTTTTTATTACTCCTATAACTGAAAAAAATATTTTTATTTATTCCTTTAGTCTCTATTCTTTATAAAAGAAAATGCTATTGCTACAAGAAATATAACAAAATATAATCAATTTGTAACAGAAGTAACAATTATAGTAAAAATTATTTTAAATTCATGCAAAATTACTTTAATTTCTAATTATTTTTCTCACTTACAAAATAGCCCCTTACAAAATATGTCTATGTCCTTATCAGAGAATGACCAGTTTCTTTACAGCCTACGGACTCAAGTTGCAATATTAACTCTGCCCTAGGTAAGCTGCCTGCTGGACTACTCTGTAGACTTTTGACCTGCCAACCTTTGCAATTAGGTTAGTTCATTCCCTAAAACCTCTCTTTGTGTATATGATATATATAAACACACACGCACACATATATGTTCTATTAGTTCTTTTTTTTCTGAAGAACATTGACAACTATAGAGGACATAATTAATTAATCCTAGGGACACTCAAATTAAACAGGTAAATCACCCCGATCTAACATAATTTCAGGTAGTGGTGAATAGGACTCTAGGAGAGAAACTAGGTGTTAGGGAATGATGTGTAATATGGTGTGGTAGGGTTTCTATATTAGATAGGAGAGCATGAGAAATTCAATTTGAAGAAATCATATTTAAGAAGAGAATACCTGAAATAAAAATGGAACTGGCCATGGGAGGTTTTGAGAGATCATTCACAACATAGAGAACAACAAGTACAAAGTCCATGAGTCACGTGTACTCGAGGAACAGCAAGAAGGCCACTGTGATTTGACAAGAAGGTGTCCTATGAAGAAAGAATGATGTCGGTTCAAAGAAAAAAGTAGCTACTTTCTGAAAAACCACCCAGAATCACACCTAACCTCAAAAGTGGAGTGAACTACCAGACACCAAGGAGTTCATTTGAAAATGACCAAATAAGGGAAGCAATGTGTAGAAAAGCTGTGGACTCACTCATTTCACCGAGGAATAAAAGAATTAACCTTCAAAATGGGGTGTCGTTTTCCTATTGTAATGGAAAAATAAATTTAATTCCTGCTTGTATCTCACACGTTTTTTTTAAATAAACAAGTTGCACATATTTCTGTTATAAGCTAAATTTAAACTTAACTAAGAAATGTAAAAGTATATGAGAGCAAAATTTTACGCAAGGTATGCAGAAACCATGCCTGATTTGTATGCAGGATCCACAGTCAGTGTATTTGTATAAGTTTGTTTGTCTCCATAGTTCACAGCACAATCTTAAACCACTTCCTTTGGTACTAAGAAGGCTGTTTGATGGTGACTATGAAAATACTAGCACTTAGAAAGAATCCTAATGAAATTAAAGATGTGGATTTTTTACCATCTCATATACAATAGCTACAAAAAAATTAAAATACCTAGAAATACAACGAACCAAGGAGGTGAAAGATCTCTACAAGGAGAACTACGAAACACTGTTGAAAGTAATCATGGATGACACAAACAAATAGAAAATACTCTATGTTCATTGATTGGAAAAATCAATATTTTTAAAATGGCCATAATACTCAAAGTAATCTACAGATGCATTGTTATTCCTATCAAATTACCAATATAATTCTTCATAGAATTAGGAATAGCTATTATAAAATTCCTATAGAATCAAAAAAGAGCCTGAATTACCAAGGCAATCCTAAGCAAAAAGATCAAAACCAGATATATGATATTATCTGACTTCAAACTATACTATAAATGTACAGTAACCAAAACAGCACGGTACTGGGACAAAAACAGACACATAGACCAATGGAACAGAATAGACTGCCCAAAAATAAAGCTGCACACCTAGAGCCATCTGATCTTCAAAAAAGTTGTCAAAAACAAGTAAAGTGGGAAAAAACTCTATTCAATAGATGGTGCTGGGATAACTGGCTAGCCATATGCAGAATGAAACTGGATCTCTCCTTTCACCATATATAATAACTAACTCAAGATGGATTAAAGATTTAAATGTAAGACTTCAAACTTTAAAAACCCTTGAAGAAAACCTAGGAAACACCATTTTGCACATTGGCTTTTGCAAAAACTTCATGACTATTCCTCAAAAGCAATTGCAATAAAAACAAAAATAGACAAGTGGGACCTAAACTAAAGAGCTTCTGCACAGTAAAAGAAATTATCAACAGAATAAATAGACAACCTACAGAGTGGGAGAAAATACTGAAAACTGTGCACACAACAAAGGTCTGATATCCAGAATCTATAAGGAATGTAAACAGTTCAATAAACAAAACATATATAACCCTATTAAAAATGAGAAAAAGACATGGACACTTCTTGGAAGAAGATATACAAACAGCCAACAAATATATGAAAAAATAATCAACATCACTATCAGAGAAATGCAAATCAAAACTACAATGAGATACCATTTCCCTCCAATCAAAATGGCTAGTTATTAAAATGTCAAAAAACAACATATACTGGTAAGGCTGTGGAGGGAAAGGAACACTGTTGGTGGGAATGTAAATTAGTTCAGCCCCTGTGAAAAGCAGTTTGGAGATTTCTCAAGGAGTTTGAAAAGGAATTACCATTCAACCCAGCAATCCTATTACTTGGTATATATCCATGCAGATGTATGTTCATTGTTATATATTCATGCACATGTATGTTCATTGTAGCACTATTCACAATAGCAAAGATGTGGAATCAATCTAGGTGCCTATAAATGGTAGTTTCAATAAAGAAAATGTGATACATATAAACCATGGAATACTATGCAGCCATAAAAACATGAAATCATGTCTTTTACAGCAACATGGATGCAGCTGGAGGCCATTATCCTAAGTGAATTAAAGCAGGAACAGAAAACCAAATACCACATGTTCTCCCTTACAAGTGGGAGCTAAACATTGGGTACACACGTGACATGGTTTGGCTGTGTCCCCACCTAAATCTCATCTTGAATTCCCATGTGTTGTGGGAGGGACCCAATGGGAGGTAATTGAATCATGGGGGGCAAGTCTTTCCCATGCTGTTCTTGTGATATTTACTAAGTCCCATGAGATCTGATGGTTTTCAAAAGAGGAGTTCCCCTGAACAATCGCTCTCTATTCCTGCTGCCATCCACGCAAGACATGACTTGTTTCTCCTTGCCTTCACCATTATTTTGAGGCCTCCCCAGCCACATTGTGAGTTCTCCATTAAACCTCTTTTTCTGTATAAATTAACCAGTTTTGGGTATATCTTTATCAGCAGTGTGAAAACAGACTAATACAACATGAACATAAAGATGAGAACAATTAACACTGGGGACTATTAGAGTGGGGAGAAAAAAGAGGGGCAAAGGCTGAACAACTACCTATTGAATTCTATGCTCACTACCTGGGTGACAGGATCGTTTGCATCTCAAATCTCAGTGTCACAGAATGTACCCATGTAACAAACCTGCATATGTACCTCCTGGTTCTAAAATAAAAGTCACAATTATAAACAAACAATGTTTTATATATTTATATAATATCTATATATATGTGAAATACATATTTCATATATTAGAATATATATATTATATAACACACACATATATGCACACACATACAGCTCATGGGCAATTATTTCTCCAATGAATTAAATTCAAAAAGCACAGGTTTTTCTCAACGTAAGTGAAATTTTGACCTAGTTGTGCTTGGATGCATCAGCCTGGACAGCAGGAGGTATGTTATAACCTTAACATTTATCATTGTTACACAGGAGTTACAGGTTAAAAGATACCACGGTCAAAACTAGATTTGTGTCATTTCTGAAATCAATATATCACTGACACAAAATCACAGTCCATAACATTACCTTAGGCTCATAGTGGTTCACAATGATATACTTGAAAATCTCATTTCAGGAACAGAGAAGCCTGGGTCTGTCATGCCAAGGTAACAAACTAAAATTTATCTTTTAACCAACGTAATAAAATATCTTCATTTTAATTTGGAAAATTAAAATATTAAATAATTACAGGAGTAATTTTATACTAAAACAAATATAATTGGGCAACAAAAAAAAACTGGATAATATTAACATTGGGGTAAATGTTATAACTTTTCCTTTTCGGTGAGATTAACAACATTGTGTAGACTGACTTCATGAGAAGCTCTGTAGAAAGTTGGAAAGAGAAGGTGAACTGAGATGTAAATAAAATATTTTACATGTACTATGAATTACATATATATTTATTTATTATATGGTCTCATTATTCTTCATACTAACTGATATGGTTTGACTGTGTCCCCGCCCAGCTCTCAATTGAATTGTATCTCCCAGAATTCCCGTGTGTTGTGGGAGGGACCCAGGGGGGAGGTAATTGAATTTTGGGGGCCGGTCTTTCCCATGCTATTCTTGTGATAGTGAATAAGTCCCTTGAGATCTGATGGGTTTATCAGGGGTTTCCACTTTTGCCTCTTCCTCATTTTTCTCTTGCTGCCACCATGTAAGAAGTGCCTTTTGCCTCTCGCCATGATTCTGAGGCCTCCCCAGCCATGTGGAACTGTAAGTCCAATTAAATCTCTTTTGCTTTCCAGTCTCAGGTAGGTCTTTGTCAGCAGCATGAATGCGGACTAATACACTTACACTGCATGTTCAGGAACGGTCAGCATGTACATGGAGTGAGGATATTTATCTATTTCTTGGACAGGTTAACTAATTACATAGTAAACTTGCACACCCACCACAAATAAACATAATAATTATAAAGCTCTGGGTACTCTACCACTTTACATGACTATATTTTTGATCACTTATGTTATTTAATAATTAATTCAACACGATGTTTAGCACCTACTACTTAAGAAACACTAGTGTCACACGGGATTAAATAAATGATCCCTGTCCGTCCTTGAGGGAGCTCACAGACTTTGTGCGTGTGTGTATGTGTGTGCATGTGTATAGAATTGCAGAAGGCTGGGATGGGCAATTATAGTACAATATGGTAATGCCTATGATAATTGCGTACACAGAGCTCTATAGGCACAGAAGGAAATCTGTGTAACAACACTCTGAGATGAGGAAGGATTTTCAGAAAGAAGTTTATTCTAAATTTAGTTAGAGAAACAGGATTCTTCTAGAAAAAAATAGGAATGATCTGGGGGTTGTGAGAAATTTTAGAACTGTGATAAAGACGAGTGTATTTAAAATCAGTTAAGTAATTTGTGATCAGTGTGTTAAATTTGGTATGTATCTTACTGTTCAGTTTACAACCTTATGTCAGAATGGTTCTTTCTTTATTATCAATATTTTCATTGCCCAAAACACAATAAATTAATAAGTTCTAAGAAGTAACATTTGGACATAGTTTCAGGCAAAGACACACCACCAATTAAGATAAGTTTCTAATTAGAAATATCATATAGAACATGTTTGAATTATGTATCATTCTGTTCCCACAACCCTAAACATGTATACACCAAGTAAAAATGTTGAAGAGTTATTGTCTTCCACACCTCCATTTTTTAATATGCATGATTTCCACATTTCCAAGGATTCTAGTCTTTTATCATTGTGGTGTCCTAAAGTTAGGTGTGATAACTTTATGTTTAAGAGAAGTTTAGGTGCTAGATAGCTATGAGCTACCCCACTACTCCCCAAAACAGAAAAAAAATCTAGTGAAGAAATAATGCAGAAAGAGGAAAAATCTTCCAAAGAATGATTCCCTTCTACTCCATTCTACCAAATACCACCCTCTTCCTTCTATGGTGAGTGACACAAATCTTCATTGCATTACACTTAGTGTATAATCCATATTTATTTATTTATAAGGTGTTATTCAGTTGATACATTGTTTTGGTGAAGCTTATTTAGTTGTTTTAGGTTAGGATAGACATAATTTTTCTCATAAGAGTTACTGAAATAGTCTTTGACTTCATGAATTCTAATTTTGGGTCTGGATTATTTGGGATGAGTAAGAATAATAACATTATTATTATTATGGGATAGATGTGTACTAGTTAAACATGACTTTATTAAAATTACTAGGATCCTTGCATTAAATTTTCAGTGACAATGAATAAAACATCTTTCATTTGGTTTTTGGCTCTGTGTATGTATGTGTGTGTGTGCGCTTGTGTGTGTGTGTTTGTGTTTTCTGGTAAATGCCTTTTTATGTTTTTCACCCTTTTTCTGGTGGCAGAGGTTCAAGGAAAGGTGTTCGTCATTATAAATTTTGATTGCATTCTAGGATGTAAAAAATTATTTCTATGTAAGTTGCAGCTGGTTATTTTCCCTTTTAATTTGCTTATGTTGATTTTGCCATAAATATATCAATATTTTTTTTGAGATGGAGTCTCGCTCTATCAACCAGGCTGGAGTGCAGTGCTGTGATTTAAGCTCACTGCAACCTTCACCTCCTGGGTTCAAGCAATTCTCCTCCCCCAGCTTCCCGAGTAGTTGGGAGTGTGCCACCACTCCAAGCTAATTTTTGTATTTTTTGTAGGGATGCGGTTTCACCTGTTGGCCAGGCTGGCCTCGAACTCCTGACCTCAAGTGATCAGCCCACCTCAGCCTCCCAAAGTGCTGGGATTACAAGCATGGGCCATCATGCCCGGCCAGATATTACATTTTTTTGTTTATAAGTCTCATCATATATTTAGAAAAAAATTCACAGCTATAAAACTTTTAAAATGTGGATAATGTTTTCATTCAGTTTGTTGTTGTTGTTGATGATGATTAATGTAGTTTAGGTGTTTCAGCCTTGTGGGCTTGCTACTATCTCAATGCTCCCATTAATCAACACATTGTAAAAGTTACTAACAGAGTTCACAAAATGGAGGCCTTTCCCATGGGGAATTTCTCTTCATAGTAAGGAAGAAAGAAAATCTACATTTGCTACAAGTAGATATATAAAAGAAAGTGAGGAAAGAGCTGAGACAATTCTATACATATCTCCCACTGTTTGAGTCATTCTAGTCTACTCTTGAATTATTCCAACTCTATGAAAAGGGGCTCAGCATTCCTCCCTCAACAAACTATGAGAACTAATAAAAATTAGAAGTGGATTGAATTATATAAATATAATGTGTTTGGCATCAATAAAGCAAAACATATTCCTAAGTGACAGTATTTGTCAACTTTAAATTTCTCTTATTTCTATTTTTATTCAAGAAAATACATTATTTTTAATCAGTATGTAGGATCAATTTCAAAGATTAAAAACTTTAATCATTCTCTAGACAGCTTTTATTTTAACAAATTTTATAATTGAAATAATTTGGTTGAAATATAGTTTTCTTAAAAAGAATGAAAATTCAAAAACTAAAGTCCTTAAGAGTACATTCCTAAATCTGTGGGTTTTTTGGTCAGTTTTTTAACTTAATTGATAATATGTCTTTCAACTGTTGAGTGGCTTTTAAACTACAATTTTATATTTAGAATAAAAAACACTTTTTATACAAGGAATATATCTACCAAGTAAAAGATATAAAGGCTGTCCAGAATTTCTCTTCACTAAAATAATATAGAAAATGTATGTTTTGATATTTACTAAAAAACTATTGTGCAATTTTAAGGTTCATTTTCTGTTTATTTTTATTTTTATTTTTAATGATGTATATTTGCTTCAATCCTGAAGGAAGTTTGTACAACTAAGTTTTTCTCTACCTTGGGATCTAAATGTTGCTGCTCCTTCGGCAATAGCACTTTGATGTTTATCAAAGCCTACTAGTTGAGAAACACGAAGCGAAAATGCAGAAATGGCTGCCTTCAAACTATTTATATTTAAATATGTTTCAGACATATGGGAAAAATATTTTCACTATAAACAAATACATTTCACAAAGGACATTTTTTATGTTTGATGAGGACTTAAATGGAGATTTTGGTCATGTGTACCTAGTTATATACACTAAAAAAAATGCATTTAATTGTTTTGTAAATTCTAAGCTACCTATTGGATCAGACAACTTTATCAAAACATTAGTAAATCATTCACAAAACTTAAAACAATAACCCCAGTTGATATAGTTTGGCTCTGTGTCCCCAACCAAATCTCATCTAGAAATTTAATCCCCATAATCCCCACATCGAGGGAGGGACCTAGTAGAGGTGATTGGATCATGGAGGCAGTTTCCCCATGCCGGTCTTGTGATAGTGAGTGAGTTCTCATGAGATCTGATGATTTTGTAAGTGTTTTACAGTTCCTCTTTTACATGCGTTCTAACTCCTGTCCCCATGTAAGATGTGCCTGTTTTCTCTTGAGCCATGATTGTGAGTTTCCTGAGGCCTCCTCAGCCATGTGGAACTGCAAGTCAGTTAAACCTTTTTTCTTTATGAAGTACCCAGTTTCAGGCAGTTCTTTATAGCAGTGTGAGAACCAACTAATACACTGGTAATTGGAAAGAGAAATTAATTTTTCACCTTTATATCCCTAGTTCCTCACACAGAATTTGGTTGATAGTACACATTTAATACATTTTAAATAAATTATGTATAAGTTCATCTTCTTTATAACAGTGTAAAAATTGCTTATGACAAATTGGTGGCTTTGGTTTTTAAAATAAGCAAACTGGTTTTTGCTAATGCTGGCTTTTGGCTTTTAAAATGTGTAATCTAGCCAGGCACAGTGGCTCGTTTTTGCAATCCCAGCACTTTTGGAGGCCAAGGGAGGAGGATCACTTGAGGCCAGGAGTTCAAGACCAGCCTGAGTAACATAACCAGACCCAGTTGCTACCAAAAGAAACAAACAAATAATTAGTCGGTATGGTGGCACATGCCTGTATTCCTGGGTACTCAGAAGGCTGAGATGGGAGGTTTGCTTGAGTCCAGGATTTCAAGGCTGCAGTGAGCTATTGTGTTAGTCCAGTCTCAGGCTGCTATAAAGAAATACGTGAGATTGGGTAATTTACAAAGAAAAGAAGTTTAATTGACTCATATTTCTGCATGGCTAGGAAGGCCTCAGGAAACTTACAATCATGGTGGATGGTGAAGGGGAAGAAAGGCAACCTTCTTCACAGGGCATCAGGAAGGAGAAGTACAGAGCAAAGGAGGGAAAGCTTCTCATAAAACCATCAGATCTTGTGAGAACTCATTCACTATCGCAAGAACAGCATGGGGATAACTGCCCCCATGATTCAATTACCTCCCACCAGGTCCCTCTCACGATATGTGGGGATTATGGGACCTACAATTCAAGATGAGAGTTGGGTGGGAACACAGCCAAACCATATCAGCTATAATCACACCACTACACTCTGGCGTAGGTGACAGAATGAGACCCTGTTTCTCTCTTTTTTTTAAGTGTGATCTATAGACAAATATTTATTTATGACTTTTATAAAAGAACTTTTCCAAATACTTGTGGTATAAATATTTGCTTTAGTAGTCTGTAAATAGTAATTTTAGCAGTAATAGGAACAGCTCACTGTCAGCTGAAACACAATCATTACTGACACAATAGGAGTACTGGAGGAAAAGCAAACACCCTATAACCTTACCCATTCCTATAAGTCCTCTCTCTTCACTATAAATGTGACACACTGATGAAAAGAATGACTATTTGAATGAACTGTGCATGATCAGGATAAGTCAGCTGATTATTTCAAATCCTTGAGTTGTTACATTTTTAAATATATTTTGAATCCTCTATAAATATAAAGTGTGCATTCCAATTTTGTACGATGTTATTCAAAGTGCTGCACTCAAGAAAAAAATGAATCTTGATTTTTCTAAGCAAAGCTTTACAGCTCCTAACCGTGGCAAGAAGCTTGGTCAAATCTAATCTCATTAATCATCCCAAAGATTAAATATTTTTGCATGGTCTAGAATTGATACACATTTTCAGTTTCAAAAACAGGAATTGAAATTGGAAAGTGCCTGGGGCACAGGATAAGTATAATTTATATGACTGTGATGAGGCTTTTGCCGATGCCCCTTTTCTTCTTCTTTCTGTCTATTTCATTTCTTTGGCTCTGCAGTTACTAAGCCAACAACCCCCAAGTCTCCTCCCACCACAGGACTCTTATTTCTCATTTCTCCCCTTGCACTGACCTATCTTCCTGCATTTTAGTTCCAACCTAGAACTGAAAAGCTTTGTTAGCTGTTATTCTCAGCAGTAATGGGCAGCTTTCCTTTGGAAGTAAGTGACTGCAATTGCCCCCTAATAGGTTCTGTACTCTTTAGTCCAGAGTAACTGAATCTATTAATTTCCCCTGCTTCTTCGGCCAGAATGCACTTCCCATGAAAGGATGGTGAGGGGAGGGATCCAAGCTTCTAGGGATACTATTGAATAGCAGACAAGGGATTGGAGGAAATGGTAAAGATAATTTTTCAAGAAAATTGTTAGAAAAGAAATTGGTACTCAAGACCTTGGGAGTCCACCTCTTTCAATAGTGTGTCCTGGGTGTGAGACATGCAAAGAAGATCACTTTGGAACTTTAAGATTTAATGACTGACTTTCTTGGTTTCCAGCTTACATGGGGACTGTGGCCCCTTTGTTTGGCCAATTTCTCCCATTTGGAATGGGAACATTCCCCATTACCCAATGTCTGTACCCCACATTGTATTGTTGAATTAACTAACTTGTTTTTGATATTACAGGCTCATAGGCAGAAGGGACTCACCTTGTCTCAAATGAGACTTTGGACTTGGACTTTTGGGTTAATGCTGCAATGAGTTAAGACCTTGGGGGACTGTTGGGAAGACATGATTGGCTTTGAAATGTGAAAAGAACATGAGATTTGGGAGGGAACAGGTGAAGAATAATATGGTTTGGCTCTGTGTTCCCACCCAAATATCATCGTGAATTGTAATCCCCAGGTGCCCAAGGTAGGACCCGGTGGGAAGTGACTGGATCATGGGGGTGGTTTCCCCCGTGCTGTTCTCATGATAGTGAAAGAGTTCTCATGAGATCTGATGGTTTAAAAGTAGCAGTTTCCCCAGCGTTCTCTCTCTCCTGCTGCCCTGTGAAGAGGGTACTTGCTTCTCTTTTGCTTTCCGTCATAATTGTAAGTTTCCTGAGGCCTTCCCAGCCATGCAAAACTGTGAGTCAATTAAACCTCTTTTATTTATAAACTACCCAGTCTTAGGTAATATCTTTACAGAAGTGTGAAAACAGACTAATAGAATAGGTTTCTTTGATCCTTGAGATTCTTATCTATGACCTAGGTTAACTATTCATTGACAATCATAAATTTGACTTCAGTTTGATGATATCCTCCAAGAAATTTTTGAAAAAGGATTATCATTTGTCTGCTTGTTTCTTACCTGCTTTTAATTACATATCGTATGTGGAAACCATGCACAGGATTTGGTGGAGCAGCATACCTAGAACATGCATTAGAGGGCATATGTCAAGTCTTCACAATGAAACAAACAAATCAATGATGGAATATTCATTCACATACATTAAATAAAAACTTTCATTTACTTCTAAATACTTCCTGCTAGCAACATTCACTTACATTTAAAAAGTATTATATCTGGATCTCCTCATTTTTCAAGGATGAAATAAAAGCAAAGGGATGTAGATCTAGGTGCCATTTTATTGCTTTATATAAATTAAGGAATGCTGTGTGGCTAATTCATAATACAATGCAAAGAATAAATTTTGGTAATTTCAATATCATATGAAAATGACTAGGTTTTGCTTTTAGGACCTAGGCTCAAAACTGAAGCCACATTTTGGATCTTTTTAATGTTGTAACATATTTATAAATATGCACGTGCCACTTTAAATGTTGTATCAGTAGTAATGTTCATAAAATACCATGGAAAAGATCCACTTTGTTTATAAATACATGAGACACACTATCCCAGTGAATTGCATCCTGAGGTAAAGGCAAAGCTGTGAGATGAATGGTAATGAGTTCAGCTCAGTTCCCTCGACCTTTGCTTAGTTTCACGGCTCACACTGGCTTTAATAAACCCGGTAGAAAATGGAGTTAGAATAGACTTTGTTAAAATCAGATAACTTACTGAAAATTAGTTTTCTCAGGTAGGTGAGTTAAAAATAATATTATGAATAAAGGCTTTCTAGAGTTATACAACTGGCAACTCACAACTTCAGGGAGTAAAGTCAGATGATTTCATTGCAGAATTATTTGAGAAAATTTTAAGCTCAAAATGATTGTAACATATGATGCTGTTGGACTTGTGATTAGTTTAATATTAGATATTTAAACAAATGTGCCCAATCTGCT
Organism: Homo sapiens; assembly: GCF_000001405.40. Classification (NCBI taxonomy): domain Eukaryota; kingdom Metazoa; phylum Chordata; class Mammalia; order Primates; family Hominidae; genus Homo; species Homo sapiens. Next base: position 22,783,689 of record NC_000005.10, read on the forward strand.
AAACAAAAGAAGTAGCCAGGGTGACCAGTCCTAGCCCAAATGTAAGACATTTTCAAATTGTATATGGGGCTGTGAAATAATATGAAGCAAATGACTTCTTAAGTACCACAATTTGACAATGAGTTGGGGCTCAAAGCGTCATGGGAGTAAGCAAGATATGTGCCCACAATGAGACCTGAATCATTTTATTATTTTATAGCGATTCTCCTCCCTGCTTTTTTTCCCATCAGAACAAGGCAAGTTTGCTCCTGATAAATCTCTCCAAATGATTTTAAAATCAGAAATATATATTTATGCCTCACTCACTGGAAGAGTGTCTCTCATATTTTTTGTGTTGGTCTGAGGGCAGTCCTGATTATTTTTCTCTATATATTTATATAAAGAATTAAACATTTGTATTTATATGTATTAATCTTACTGTGTCATACATTGCCACTATATATAAAGGTTTTCAGCCTACCATTTTTTCATAAAATATACCATCTAGTTTTTGTAAAATTTTCTCAAAGACTGATATGCTTTCCTTTTTCATCTTCCTGTACAAATAATGTTATATCACTAGCAGATTTACAGCTATGATTTAGTTACAATGTATAGACTTCTTTCTAAAGTTTAGTATTCTTGATAGAGTAAACCTCTGTCCTGACTCCACAACTTGAATTTTTAGTTTCTTGCTATACTTTGCTACTTTCTAGTTCACACTTAACACTCTTTCACCTTCCCCTTAACTTTCTCTACTTTATATATTTCCTACCTTGGACAATGACTCATCTTCTGCACTACTTTTTCCTTCTTCCTCACCCACCCATCCAGATTAAATTGGTCACCACTAACTGCTACTACTTTTTCCTTCCTAAATTGTTCTCAAAGTCCTACTAAAATTGTTCTAGTTAAAACGATCATGGCTTGTTACTTGGATGGCAAACTCATCAATCTACCAGTTCATCCTACTTCCCTCTACTTGCTTCTTCTTACTAGACCCAATACAGCCTGGTCCCGTTATAAACTCCATTATTGTATTTTCCTGCTTGCAAAAAGAGTATGTTTTCTATCCCAGAGACATTGGCAGGCAGCTATTCCTAATTAAATTTCTGAAACGCTGTTTTGAAATATTAATTGTAAAGTATACCTTTTATGTATGGCAAGTGATAATGAGGTTTACATTCACAGTACTGTTGTAGCTATTTTAAAATTTTTCCTTATATAAGTTTAAATAAACTTAAAACATTTCAAGTGAATAGTAATATAGTCACTTGAAATACATCTATTAAGCTTGAGAATCATTGTCTAATGGGATAAATTTAATGATCCTTGGCATAGTGAAGATAGCTTTTAATATTTGATTTTTGTGTACGGCCCCTAACAAATCGAAGGAAGGAGGTTATGATGCCTTCTTCTGACGGACACATCTCCTGTGTACATGCACGTGCTCACAGAGGCACACCGATTCTCCTCTTACCTTTCCTGATGCTCGCCCACTCTGAGTCTGTGATCAAGTAACCTTTTTTCTTGCTTCAGGGATGACTTCTTACTTTGTGAAATTTTTAATCTCAAGAGTCATTCAGTGTTATTGCCCCTGATTATAAATTTGATTAATCTTTTACATTGTTATTTATTAAGCAGAAGACCAGTATGATAAGTTGTGTACATTCTTGATTCTGATGTAAATCAATGTTATTAAAATTTAATTCTGTGAAATCTGAATGTTCTACCACCTCTGGTAATGTCTACCTAATATTTTTCTGACATTTAGATTAACTGAATTTCTGAGAAAATAATTCTTACCCAATTATTACCTATTTTCTGTTATGTTTTGTTGTTGGTGGTTTTTTGTTTTATTTATTTATTTGAGACAAGGTCTCACTCTGTCATCCATTCTTGAATGCAGTGGTGCAATCACAGCTCATTGCAGCCTTGCCTCCCAGGTTCAATTGATCCTCTCACCTCAGCCTCCAAGTAGCTGAGACTACAGGCACATGTCACTACACCTGGCTAATTTTTGCACCTTTTGTAGAGATGGGGTTTCGCCATGTTGCCAAGGCTGGTTTTGAACTCCTGACCCCAAGAAATCTACTCGTCTCAGCCTCCCAAAGTTCTGGGATTACAGTTGTATGCCACCATGCCCAGCCTTATTTCCTGTTAATAGCTATTTCTTGAGGAACCCTTACACACTGTTTTAGGGGGTGTAAATTAGTTCAATCATTGGAAAAGACGTGGCAATTCTTCAAAGATCTAAAGACAGAAATATCATTTGACTCAGCAATCCCTTTACTGGGTATATAACCAAAGAAATATAAATTGTTTTATCACAAAGAAACATACACATGTATGTTCATTGGAGCATTATTCACAATAGCAAAGACAAAGACTCAACTTAAATGCCTATCAATGGAAGACTGGATAAAGAAAATGTGGCACGTATACACCATGGAATACTATACAGCCATAAAAAAGAATGATATAATGTCCTTTGCAAGAACATGGATGGAGCTGGAGGACATGATCCTTAGCAAACTAATGCAGGAACAGAAAAACAAATTTTTCATGTTCTCACTTATAAGTGGGAGCCAAGTGATGAGAACACATGGGCACATAGAGGGGAATAACATATAATAGGGCCATTTTTGCAGTTGTGAATGTAGACATACTGTGTGGGGAAGAAGCTAACACAGAAGACCTGAAGTGGCTACTTTCAAAAGTTCCCTTTGTGGGGTTGGCCCTTGGATAGCAGCCTAGAACTTGGCTGTTTTTCACAAGCTGGGCTGCTGAACACCTCTTTTCCTTCCTGAAGTCTGAAATTCCAGTAGTTGTGGCTGGTTTTTGCTTCTATGTGACTGACTTCTAATAAAAACCTTGGACTCAGACACTCCCAGGCTTTTCTGGGTAGAAACATGGCACATGTGTTATTGTATAGTGATGCTAAAGGAAGAACCTCATGATGTGTGACATCTTCATTTGTGTAATGGGGAAGGGGGTTGAGGAGAATAGAGGAAGTCTATGCCTACATTCTTTTTTTTTCTTTTTTCTTTCTGTTTTTTTTTCTTTTTGAGATGGTGTTTCACTCTTATTGCCCAAGTAGGAGTGTAATGGCGTGATCTCAGCCCACTGCAACCTCCGCCTTCTGGGTTCAAGCAATTCTTCTGCCTCAGCCTCCCAAGTAGCTGGGACTACAGATGCATGCCACCACATCTGGCTAATTTTTTGTGTTTTTAATAGAAACGGGGTTTCACCATGTTGGCCAGGCTGGTCTCGAACTCCTGACCTCAGATGATCTGCCCGCCTCAGCAAAAATTCAGCCCTCACACCTTTTTGATTAATTAATTTATTAATTTTGACTGTGAGCTATATTTTATTAATACTAAGCTATACTCAATTCTTTGAGTACTGTGGGTCCTCCAGCAATTCACTGAACTCGTGCATGTTCTTAGGACCTCTAAAACACACACACACCACACACACACACACACACACCCCACAGCCAATTCTTATCTTGATTACTTGCAAACAAGAAGATATTTCCTATTCTGTTCTCTCCTCTTTTATTTTCTTCCATTTCATTCCACTTTCTTCTATAACATTCTGTCCTAATTAATTCCCTTTTAATTAAGTCCATACTTAAACTAAAGGCACACTTGTATCCCACTATGCAATTTCATGATGCACTTAATGTGACTCTATTCCAATTAGCCTACCAAGAAGTCATCCTAATTTTTCTACCTGATATTGGTCACATCATCTGCAGAAAAGCACACAGAATCTTTCCCTTTTATGAATTTTTGTGCTAATCAGTGCCAAAAAAGACATGGTGTTAATGTATTAGTGATTCATTGCTATACAATGGATGACTCCGAAACTTATTGGCTTAAATATTATAAATAATGTTTTAAAATATTTATTTTTAATAATGTTTTATTTTTAATAGTTTTATTTTTAATAAAATAATGTTTAAACATGTTTATTATTTCATACTTTCTAAGGGCGCCTTTGGCTCAGGATCTCTCACTGGGCTGCAATCATGGTAGTAGCTCTCGCTACAAACATTTTAAGGTTCAACTGGGAAATTGGCTTATACATGCACATACGGCTGTTAGCAGGTCCTCACTCGCTGGTTTCCAGAGTCATCAGTCTTTGTCTTAGGCCAGTTCGAAACATGGCAGCTGGCTTCCCTCAGTGGGGAAGAAAGCAAAAGAAGGCAAGAGAGAGAAAAACCAGGTTTTTCTTGTCATCTAATCTTAGAGATGACATACCAACACTTTTGCTGTATTTTGTATATTAGAAATGAGTCAGTAAGTTCAGCCACACTCAAGGGATGAGTGTCACACAAGAGAATGAATAATAGGAAGCTAAGTATTTAATGCCAACTCAGTGTGTGCCTCTCATAACTAGGAAGAAATGAAACAAATATGAGGAAGCTAAAATAATTATAAAATGTTGACAGGACATGGTCATTTCTCTCCTGTATTTTATTTTCTTTTCATAAATATTATTTGTGAGTCTCATCTGCAGTAGTCCTTATTTAAAAGGCTGACTGGTGACTGACTGTAACAGTTGTTTATTCTTAAAAGCAGTTGTTACCTTCTAAGTTTATTTTAATGTGCTATAAATTTATCCTTTATTTTATGCTGTAATTATTTTACTTTTGTTACACAAAGGCAGATTTATATGCACCTTTATTTGCTACATCTTTGTTTGCTTGGATGAGGGTAAGGGTAAGGGGTAAGGAGAGAAAGACGAAGGAAAAGAGGTGAAATCGAAGAAAAAAGATTATCATTATTATAATTAAAATGCATTGAATACTCACTATATGTCATTCCAATAATTCTTTATAATATAAAAATTTATCATAATATATAAATATATGTGGCATTTCAAGTACTCTTGATATATATGAAATATATATTATAATATATAATACATGAAATATATTAATAAATACAATATGTAACTGTAATATAATGTTCATGTGTAAATTTATAATATAAAATATGATATAACATTTAATTATGAAACTATAATTATATATCATTTTATATATGTATAGTTATGTATTTATATAAAATATGTTATAATGTATATATTTTTTCTTTTGAAGAAGGTAATAATATTTCCATGCTAAAATAAGGAACCTGAAGATGGATGTGGTGCAGTTCACTCTATCAGAACTCGAATTTTCACTCAAAGAGTCTAGTTGCTGAGTCCACATTTTTCAGTCCATGATGTCTTCGTATGTGGATTTGAACACAGAATCATGCATATACCATATTTAAAACTCAAATGATGCATATTTCAAAAAAACTTTAAATTAGAAACTACATCTTGCGTGTGTATGTCAGGAAATCAATAAGTATTAGTCAAATGAATAAAGGAATATCATAGTTTATTTTGAGTTTTCTTGAAATTGGCCTAAAATAAAAATATAGGTTACAAAGTAGATAGTTGCTTTGTATATGTGAGAAAGAAAATAAAAGGAAAAAAGAGAAAAAAGGAACAAATGTTAAAAAAGGAAAAAACAAAATTTTAGAGAATTTTAGTTTTAACTTGATATTGTAATTAATGTGTCAAGATGGATTTTTCCACCAATAGTATGTCACATATTATAAGCAGTTAAAGCACAGCCCAGTGAAATGTTTGAAGTTCTGGAATTAAAGTGACATAATAAAGAACAAAAAAATTGTAATATAGAGTATGATATAATTGCACATACCCAAGGAAAACAAGATTTGTAAAAACAAATTAATCATGTTCAGCGTTTAAAAATGTAGCAATATATAATAAAACTTATTATAAGCATACAGATGTTAATGCGAATATTTCCATTTGGTTAAAAGAGATAAATTTATAGTTATTTCACTAAAGTCTGCAGGGTTCTGGAACAAAGGAACTTATTGAATTTAATATATTTCTCATAAAAGTGTCTCACAAGTATTAATTTCATGCTTGACACAACTTTTCATAGGCTTTGTGATTTTATATCTCTGATTTACAACAGGCTAGGTTTCCTGGTTGATAAATTCTCAAATTACCAAAATTTTAAAACTGAAAGGAGATTTCTTTTTTAAATATAACAAGGAAGTTTGGTTGGTTCAGTATGAAATATGAACTTTGAAGTGAGTTCATTTTACCAATGATGATGTAACTATAAATAGTTATATATTTATTTGTAAGAATAAAATATAAATTAAATATAAAACAGTTTTCTTAAGTTACTTTTTCTGTCCTTTTAGTGGCTTCATTTAAATTACAGTAAAATCTCAGACACAAAATTATCAAGGATTTAGGAATAAAGGGATAAAAATGACATAAAAGAAATATTTTTAGAAGAATAGGAGTTTCTAAACTTTTAGTAAACAGGTAACATACAGAATCAGCCTGCTTTTAAGTCAAGTGATGATGTGGCTCATGAGAAAAGTACATCTTCCGAAAGAACTTATATTACAAATAATTCTAAAACTGTTGTAAAGTGATTGGTCAGTTTATTGCAAAGAATGAACAAAACGTGTTTTGTTGGACAGGTGGCATCTAGAAGAGAATAGATTTTCATTTAAAAAGAAATAACAGAGGGGAAAAAAATGCCAAGTTAAGGTGGCCTAGTGATAGCAATTATCAAAACTAATAATAGCATCAATGAGGGTTAAGATAAATTAACTTTTCTTAACATTTGAGAAGAAAGCTAGTACAAATCAACAGTTCTCACAATTCTCAAAGGGTCTTGTATTTGCCAGACTATAAATAGATTAGCCCAAAGCCTTACACTTCTAAAAAGTTCAGTCCTTACAAGTTAGAAGGATACCTAGCAAAATGATCAATGTAACTTTCATCTTATCCGTTGGCTTCATATAATCCCTTTGACACATGTGGAATAAAAATGAATCCCTCTTCTGTTTGGAAATCTTTCAAATATTTGAAGAAATCTATATTGAGAAAATATTACAGATATATTATTATTTATTTATACTATATATATACTTTTTCATAATATTAGCCAGATGTTTGTGGTTGGGAAGTTTGCAAGACCAAAGCAAATGTACCCAAACATATTTTGTTTCTTGTGTTTTGTGAATACCTAAATTGATGGAGCTGTTACGTAAATATCAGAGACTACATCCCACTGCTTGGTGGCAAGGATTATTGGGATTGAGCAAGAAGGGAGTCATAGACTCATGGCATCGTGGTTGGCACAGAACAGTCATTTATCTTAGGAATCAAACCACTTTCTATTGAAAAGACACCTATGGCAACCATAATGGACTAAACATGAAGGACCTTTCAATCTTCGATGGTACCAAGTAAGCATCCCAAATTCTTATATGACCTTGTGGAGGCCGGAGTCCCAGTTAGGCCCAAGATTATACAGGCTGATGGCTGTATGTCTGAATTAATTTTAGTCAAAGAATATAAAGAACACAAAGAACGTAACAAAGAGAGTAGCCTCTTTGCACACTTAATGTGGAAACAATATATATCAATTACATAGCAGTTAAATTCTCCGGAAGTTTGTTTTCTCAAAACTCTAAACTCCATTTGAATCTTCTTGCCCACTAGTCTTCAAAGCAGGAAGGGTATAAGAGCAGAAATCTAGTGCCAGAAGAAAAATAGATTGTAAGCCTGCCACCAATTAAAAGATTCTTCACCCACGTCTAAGTTTTCGCAGATATAAAACAAAAGAGTAATGATATAAGGCACAATTTGGAGCACAACCATGAAGTATCTACAAATAAAGAACAGAATAAAAGGGAAATAACACTGCCACCTGATAATTCAATCTATATTTAATGCCTTAAAAAAGAAATATGCGATTCCCTTTAATGTAGAAAGACATTGTTCAGGCTGATGAGACTATATGGAACTTAAGTTTGTCAATTCTTGGACTCTTCATTTTGTTCCATAGTAACTGTATTAGTCTGTTCTCACACTGCTATAAAGACATACCTGAGATTGGGTAATTCATAAAGAAAAAGGATTTAATTGAATCACAGTTCTAAATGACTGGGGAGGCCTCAGGAAATTTACAATCATTGCAAAGGTGAAGGGGAAGCAAGGCATGTCTTACATGACACCAGGCAAGAGAGTAAGTGAAGAATGCCAGACACTGGAAAACCATCAAATCTCATGAGAACTTACTCACTATCACAAGAATAGCAAGGGGGAAATCCGCCTCTGTGATCCAATCACCTCCCACAAGGCCCCTCCCTTGACATGTTGGGATTACAATTCAAGATGAGATTTGGGTGGGCACACAGAGTCAAACCATATCAGTAACATTTCTAAAATTAACATACGTCTTCTCTAATTAGTGAAGTGTCAGAGTTAACTGGAGACATTTCTTATTTTAGTCACATAAACAATGGTAATGCCTTTATAAGCACTTTTTTGCAGAAAGGATATCATGAACTAGGGCTTTTTTTTTTTTTTTTTTGAGATGGAGTTTTCACTCTTGTCACCTGGGCTGGAGTGCAGTCGCATAATCTCGGCTCACTGTGACCTCCGCCTCCTGGGTTCAGGCGATTCTCCTGCCTCAGCTGCCCAAGTAGCTGGGATTACAGGTGCCCGCCATCACGCCCCACTAATTTTTCTATTTTTAGTAGAGACAGGGTTTCACCATGTTGGCTGGGCTGGTCTCAAACTCCTGACCTCAGGTGATCTGCCTCCGTCGGCCTCCCAAAGTGCTGGGACTGCAGGCGTGAGCCACCACGCCCGGCCTGAGCTCCCTTTTGATTGCAATTTGGCTTACTGCATATTACTTTGACAGTGGTAAGATAGGTTAGCAGAAAACAGAAATGTCTAACTTCTTATCAGTTTTAGTTTTTGTTGCAGTTTGTTTTCCAACTCACTATTATTAAGATGTGTCATGCCTTCCTGCTTTTTGGCATACACGTATATGGTGGTCATCACTATGTTATAATTGTAAAGTTACAACTCAAAATCCAGCTTTACAAAGCCAGATAAAATCTGGGTAAAAATTGGGTAAAGTCTGGCTTTGTAAATTTGGTGAATTTGAGTCGGTTCTGAGGAATGTGTTCATTTCTGTTGGGTTGATCAAATACAATCTCTGACCAAGTGTGGTCAGGAAACGGGAGTTGGGTCATCAGTGTAATTTTACCAGCACAGGCTCTGGCACAATTACACTGGATATCTCTCCTGGTGTCATTCATAGATATTTCATCACCATCACCTATCAGATTTTATATATTTATTTAGATAAAGGAAATAATGTGCATAAAGCAGTTATAAAGTGTGAGGTACCTCCTAGGTCCTCAAGAACAGTGATTTTCACTTTCCAGGTTGTCATTCTCTAAATTTATTCTTATTTGACCATGCACCCCAAGGTATGGTACCCAGAAATGACAAGACACTTAGGTGCCTGGCAATCACTTCTTCAATCTAGTTACTATATTTCCGTTCATGAAATATATGATCCCATTAGTTTGGTTGGAGCTACATTACACTATTGATTCATACTGATTTCACTGCCAGGGAAAACCTGCAATCTCTCCAACACACGCTATTCCTAAGTGATCCAATCTTTCAGAGAGTTGTCTTTTTAGATTTGGGGTCAAAACCTTACATTTATCAGTTTTAAAAGCTTCTTACTGGTTTTGGCCCTTCACTCTTTGTTGTCCAAATATTATAGATTATTTTTCTGCTATACAAATTATATACTGTGCCTTCCTGCTTTTTGGCATACACATATGTGGTGATTATAACTACTTTATAGTTTTCAAGTTACCACTTTAACTAGTTATAACTACAGTGCACATGAATGAATTTATGTTCTAAAGGAATGTGCTAGAACCCTCTTAGGCTGACACCATTGTATACTGTCTCTTACGTGGTTTTGAATCCATACATTTTATCATAAACTTCTACAATTATATGTCTTAGTCACCAGGAGCTTATGAATAATGCTTTCATGAAAAGCAACCTACTACATTTATTTGACCTATTTGTCTAACATTCTTATTTAGCAAGAGGATAAGCTGCTATGATATAGTCTTAAAAATGTTTGCATAAGTCTCAGGAACATCATAAAGCCTGATCTCATCATGTGCCCGCACTCTTTAACTGTTTTTTTTTTTTCAATCCCATTTATGGAACCACCATCAGAAAAAAAGTGTAAAAATTACAGAAATTCCTCCTCAATTCACAGGCAGTACATCCTGGCAATAAGTCTTCTTCACAATTTGTTATGCTTCTTAACTACTCCTTTCTCATTACTATTATTGCATTGATATTAGCAATCTGCATGTCCTATAAGAATCATCACAAGTTTTCTAGCTAATCTTCATACCTCCTATGTTGCATCATATAAATACTAGCTCTACAGTGTCACTGGAAGGAATATGCTGAAACACTCAGTCTCACTTTCCCTAGTTGCCTTCTACCTCTCAAACCCCCCACATCTGGCTTGCCATGATCACCAATATTCCAAAATGACAACGGTACTGAAAAGCTCATATGTCCCAGAAATAACCACACGGTTTATGCATTCATGTTTTCCATTTGCCACTCCTTCCACCTGGAAGGGCTGCCTTCTCCATCTAATCAGACTTCAGCTCATTCAGAATCAATTGGACAAACAGACAAGGAGGTGGATGACCAGTTTTGTTAGCAGTGAAGGAATATTTGAGTACTAGAAAAGAGTCCACTGGATTTTGAATGCCTGCCATACTCACAGCTCCATCAGAACAAAATAGCCAATATAATTCTGCACACTGGTTAATGTGCTTTGTGTCATGTGACCTGCCAACTCTGACTACAACTTAACTGGAGCGGAGTCTGGGTCCACAGTCAAATATGTCATCTGTACGATGATCTGCTTACCTATGACATGAGAAAGCTGTTCAGTAATGAGACCAGCAAGGCCAGTCAGATTATCTGTTATTTTATTTCGTTTTAAATGCAATATTCACAGAAAAGGACCAAGATTTAGAGAGAATAGAAAAAAATAGATACAGAAAAACACAAACAAAGGAATAGTAGACTGAATAATGCCCCACCCTCTCCAATATACAAATGCAGAGGTGTCCATGTCCTAATCCCTGAAACCTGTGAATATATTATCTTACATAGCAAAAGGGATTTTGCAGATGTGATTAAAGTAAGGTACTAGCAGTGGAGAGATCACCCTGGATTATCCTAGTGGACTCCATGGAATCACAAGTGTTCTAATAAAAGAAAGACAACAGATTCAAAGTAAGAGAGGAACTATGAGCATGGAAGCAGAGATGGAGATGATGTTTTGATGTTATATATATACATATGTCATATATATATATATGTCAATATCTGACTTAATTCATGTAACAATTTGGTGCCAAAAAATGAAGGTAATTTCATAAACTCAGAATTTTTTTAAATGCATGTCCATGTTATTGTATGATTTTGTATCACACCAGTTCAAACACCTTTCTTTACAGTTATTCAAACAAGGCTCTTTTGGAATTATTTCAGTCATCCCTAATATGTCACCTGCCAAAGACCTTGAAGCTAAACAAACAAAAAGACAAAATTTCAAATGACTAACTTTTAGATGAATTGAGTAAGAAATAGTCATTGTCAAGAGATGACGATGGGAGTGTTAATCTCCAGTAAGATGTTTTGTCGAAATGGTTCTTCTCATATAGCATTCAGAAGTCAGAAACTTCAAAAATAAGGGCAGAACAAGTGTACAATGAAAGAACCTTCTTCAGCTTAAGCCTCCCATAGTCCTAAACCTGACATAAGGAAGGCAAAGCATCTTTCCTGTAAATTGAACAGATCTCCAGTATTTCTATCTAATTGAGCTTTCAGAGATTAGATTCCTAATATATCTCATGTATGTGTGTATATACACATATATATACACACTTATATACATACATATAATATATACACATACACATATATAATATATACATATATATTATACACACACACACACAAACACACATCTCATCTTGGCTCTGCTTGCATTAATTATGGCTGAAGAGTTGAATACACATACAAGTCCAAAGGTGGAAGCATACATACACTGTATGGTAACTAGCAAGAGCAGACTATAAAAGCAAAGGCTAGTGAGATCAACATTTTTAGATTCCATATATGGAATCATGTGTGGAAATGAGAAATTATGATACCAAAATTGGTATCAAAATAGTAGAGTGAGAAGTGTGAATTATCTGAGGAAGTCAGAACTAGATTGTACATTATAAAGTGAGACTGAGGACCACCTGTGGAATTTATTTGAGGAAATGGATAAGGATAACATATAAGTGTTAAGTTAGAGCCTTCTGTGCTTAGCTAGCTTCATTTAATATAATGTCCTCTAGGTTTGTCCATGTTGTAAAAAATTACATGAGTTTGTTTTTTATGGCTAAACACTATTCCATTGTGTATATGAACCATATTTTTTAAATCTATTCACTTATTGATGGACAAAGGTTGATTCCACATCTTGGCTATTGTGAAAGGTGTTGCAATAATATACAAGTGCTGATATCTCTTTCGAATACCGATTTCATTTTCTTTGGATATATACCCCATTATGAGATTGCTGGACCATATGGTAGTTCTATTTTTAATTTTTTGAGGAACTTCCATACTCTTGTCCATAATGGCTTTACTAATTTACATTCCCACCAACAGTGCATGAATTTTGTTTCTTCATGTCCTTGACAACATTTATCTTGTCTTTTTCATAATATCCATTCTAATTGGAGTAAGGTGGTATTTTATTGTGGTTTTGATTTGCATTTCAGTTATTAGTAGGATGCTGAACATTTTTTTCATATTCCTGTTGGCCATTTATATGTCTTCTGTTGAAAAACTTCTGTTCAGATTTTTTATCTTTTTTTTTTTTTTTTTTTTTTTGAGACGGAGTCTCGCTCTGTCGCCCAGGCTGGAGTGCAGTGGCGGGATCTCGGCTCACTGCAAGCTCCGCCTCCCGGGTTCACGCCATTCTCCTGCCTCAGCCTCCCAAGTAGCTGGGACTACAGGCGCCCGCCACTACGCCCGGCTAATTTTTTTGTATTTTTAGTAGAGACGGGGTTTCACCGTTTTAGCCGGGATGGTCTCGATCTCTTGACCTCGTGATCCGCCCGCCTCGGCCTCCCAAAGTGCTGGGATTACAGGCGTGAGCCACCGCGCCCGGCCCAGATTTTTTATCTTAAATACTTTGTTCTTCTTCATGATTTAATCTCACATAAAATAGTAAGGAATTATATCATAGGAGGAAAAGCAAGTTTCATAAAATAATACTATGATTTAAAACTGACTCTGTGTCTAATCTCACAACACATTGCAAAGAGTTAATAATGGGTGGTCTTATCCATGTCAAAAATAGAAAGCAAGGGAAGCCTAATGAAAAATCAGGGGACTATTTGCTGTAGACTGAATGTTTGTGTCACGCTCAAATTCCTATGTTGAAATTCTAACCCTTTAGTATTCGGAGGGGGGCATTTGGGAGGTAAATAGATTATGAGGGTGGAGCCCCCATGAATGGGATCAGTGCCTTTATAAAAAAAAAAAAAAAAAAAAAAAGATCCAGAGAGCTCTCTTGCACTTGCTGCCATGTGAAGACACAGCGAGAAGACAACCATCTATGAACCAGGGAACAGGCCCTCATCAGACACCAGAGCTGACAGCACCTTGGACTGCTCAGCCTCCAGAATGGTGAGAAGTAAATTAGTCTTGTTTGTAAGCTCTGTAGTCCATGGCATTCTGTTATAGCTGCCTGAACAGACTAAGAAACTATTAGGTGGTATCCTGGTGGCAGTAGGTACTTTTCTTCAGTCAAGAAGCCCTTGTTCTGTACTAAGTGGCTTCTGACTCTAGTAACTAATAATTGCATAAGTGAAGTTAAGGACTTAGATATATTATAAATAAAATAAACTCCTAAAAGCAGAACAAGAAACAAGAGTAAAAAACAATAGATATTTGTCAGTAACCAGTAAAAGAAGTTGGGAATAACCATCTATGTAGAAATAAAAGATTCTCAGCAATACGTATAATCAGAAAAGTTCCCTTTGCCTTAACTATTAGAGAATTTTACTATTTTACCTCATTTAAATTGTAAATCTCAAGTTTTTTATTTGAATACAATTTCTATTAAGAAATAAAAATATCTGACTTAAGATTTTGAATTCCTTACTATTTGTGTGACTTTTAGAAAATGTGGGTTTATATTCTCTCCTGTATAAAATGCCAATAACAATAGCCCTGACTCATAGTGTTGCTTTTGAGGAATAAATAACCTAATGCGTTTTGGTACAGTACCATAGTTACTGTTATTTCAGTGTTATTTCTTGTTGAACAGTGAACATTTTCTCACCAGCTTTGTTTTGTCAGGAAGCCTTAGGCAAACTTATGACAAAAGAAAAGAAATTTTTTCGCCTTCCTACTCTCCCTTATTTTGGCTGTAACTTAACACTTATATATTATTCTTATCCCCTGCCTCAAATAAATCCCACAGGTTGTCCTCAGTCTCACTTTATAATGTACTATCTAGTTCTGACTTCTTCAGGTAATTCAAACTTCTCAATCTACCATTTTGATATCAATTTGTCTATCCTGACTTCTCATTTCCTCTGAGGTTTATGACCTGATAACCAATTTGATAAAATGTCATTGGTAAATATAGGCTACTTAACAAAAACTATAATAGTTTAAATACATGAACTTACCGGACTGCTTAAAATTCAAATGTATACAGACACATATCATATATATTTTTTAAATTTTACAAACAGTGCAGTTTTTTATTAGAAATAAATTTAACATGTAATATGTTCATTATTGTTATCCTAAAATTTATGATAAATATGTATTTTTTCATTCTAATTTCTAATATGGTAAATATCACCAGATATATTAAACACAGTCACACTTATTTTTATCATATGAGTTTCCAAATCATAATCGTGATAAAATATCTGATACTAGCCCTAACCTAACAAAATGAACTCAAAAGCATTCATATATAATCTAATGAAAGATATATTTAGAATTTTACAAGATTATGCATTGGTAGTTTTATATATTACAAATGAATATTCTTACTTAATAATGGAAACCCTTTATCAAGTAATTATAAGTATAGTATGTTTTCTAAATATTTTGTTTATTTTTTAGTAAAAAATGTCATGATGATTAAAACAAACTGTCTCCATCAGGTATGGTGGCTCATGTCTGTAATCCCAGCACTTTGGGAGGTGGAGGTAGCCAGATTGCTTTGAGCCCAGGAGTTTGAGATCAGCCTGGCCAGCATGACAAGAAACCCCATCTATACTAAAAATACAAAAACTAGCTGGGTGTGGCAGTGCATACCTGTGGTTTCAGGTACTTGGGAGGCTGAAGTGGGAGGATGGCTTGAGCCTGGGAGAAAGAGGTTGAAATGAGCAGAGATCATGCTATTGCACACCGGCCTGGGTGACAGAGCCAGACCCAGTCTCAAACAAACAAACAAACAAACAAACAAAACCACAAAACAGAAACTGTCTCCATATGTGGAATAATTGAATCAGTACCTTAGGCATATTTTTTCCTCTCTGTGTAGAAAATAAATTTCTAAGGAGAACAGTATTTAGCACTTGCTAAAGAATTTAGGATATATTTATAATATAAAGCGTATATATCATGGAAACAGAATTACAGAAACATTAAAAATCATACAGTAATGAAATATGTTCTTTCTTAAACTGAATAGGCTAGTTCATAGGTTGGTGATGTAAATAAATTCTACATAATTTGTAATTTCTATCTTCATAATACATAGCCCTTTTCAGTATTTTATTAAAAATGTGTGTTTTTATTAACTTGTTAGAGTTAATGGATTGGAAACTAATACACCAAAGTGAGCAGAGAAGAATAACTCTTAATTTTCAGCCAGTGATGATATTTCAGTGAGAGAACTTTTATATGTGACACTTTTTAAAAATACGTGTGCTCTTTAATTGACTTATTGCAGTTTGAAGTAACTATTTTATTGAAATCTCCAAAAGGCAATTATATGTATTTATCATAAAGTACTCAGTACTCCCCACATTCATTTAATGAATACTTATTGAACACTTTGAACACTCACGTTAAGAAATATACACGTATACCTACATATATACCTACAATATACACAATATATTGATATTTACAACCTACAAAACAACACACAAACATATTAATAAGCATAATTTTTGCTCTTAAAGTTTTACTACTGGAAAATTAGTAAAAATTATACAAACTAGAAGATTGCCTCATAATAAATAAATATTTTCTGTTAGAAAATCTGAATGTAAATGGAGTTTTCAGAACTAAAAATATTTGAATGGATTTTATTTTCAGATACAGCACATACAAGGGCATTACGTGATAAATGCTAGGAAAGAGGTCTGGGGAAAATGGTTTAGTAGCCACTGAGGAGGTAGTAGTTAATTCAACTGAGAGTATTCAAGGAATAAACATTGCCAGATGAGCTACAGACATGTTTTGTAAACTGACATAAATACTATTATGAATGCAATTTCAATTTTGACTTGTATATTTTCCTGTTGTCACTAGTGTGGGGCTATTACAGCAGCATGAGGAACAACAACCATAATAATAACAAACATAATGTTGCTCAAACTAACTGGTTTCTTGGTTAAAGGAGTTTTTTTCTTACTGCTTATAACTAGAATCAGTTGAAGTAAGATTTCTCCTGTTGATCTCCATAGATAATGTTTTTATAATAGATATTTTTTAGGGTAGTTTTAGGTTCACAGCAAAATTGAGAAGAACAGAGAGTTCTTACATACCCGTTTACCCACTAGTCCTACACGTGTACAGTTTCCTCCATTATCAACATCCCCAAAAAGAGTGGTACATTTGTTACAATTGATGAACTGCATTGACACAATCAATGTTTATAGTTTACCATTAGGGTTCACTCTTGGTGTTTTACATTCTATGAGTTTTGATAAATATTTAACATGTATCTACAATCATAGTGTCATACAAACCATTTTCACTGCCCTAAAAATCCTCTGTATACCACCTTTTCATACCTCTCTCCTAATTGCTGCTGGCAACCACTGAACTTTTTATTGTCTCTGAAATTTTGCCTTCTCCAGAATGTTATATATTCTAAGTCATATAATATGTCAATTTTTTAGATTGTCTTATTTTATGTAGCACTTTACATTTAGGGTTCCTCCTTGTCTTTTCACGGCTCGATAGATTATATTTTTTAGCATTGAATACTATTCCATTGTCTGATTGTACTATAGTTTATTTATCCATTCATCCACTGAAGGATGTCCTGGTTGCTTCTAAGCATCCATAATTATGAATAGAGCCGCCATAAAAAACCATGTGCTGCTCGTTCTGTGAACATAAGCTTTCATCTCCTTTGCATAAATACCAAGAATTATGATTGGATCATATGGTAAGAGTAAGTTTAGTTTTTTAAGGAACTACCGCATTGTCTTCCAAAGTGGCTATACCATTTCGCATTACCTCCAGCAATGAAGATTAGTTCCTGAGTCTTCATACATTAGCCAGAATTTGGTGGAGCCAGTGTTCTAGATTTTGCTCCTTCTAACAGGTGTGCAGTGGTTCCATAGACTTTTAATTGAAAAGAATTCAGTACATCAGAAAATTAGGCTTCGTAGGTAGCTCTGCAAGCCAAAGGTGTTACTAGCAATGCAGCCTTCATCAGCTAAGCAAAATGCCAGTTTTGGGACGCCTTGAAAGAGATTTTGTATGAGCTATTAAGGGCATCAACTTTTAAAAAGAGGTTTTTTGCCTTTTTAAGTCAGTGAATATTTTACCATCTTAGATTGCTTTTCAATTATCTTTCGTTTCCTCCAGCTGACGAATTTGTCTTTTAACATCCTACAATGTTGTCGATATAATGCTTCTATTTTTAATCTTAACAAACTTAACATTTCACTTTCTGATTAAAGTTTATATTTACAATTACCTTCACTCTGCTTATCATATATATATATATATATATATATATATATATATATATATATATATATACACTTTGTTTAATAGGGAGAACACATAAGATTTTAAATGTTATATCTGTCTTCAAAAAGATGGGTGTTTCAAACACTAATGGCAACTTTGTTTCTGTCCTGTATTTATTTTTCTCTGGTATCACTATAGTGTTTAAATGTGCATTTACTTTAATTCAGTTTGCTTGGGCCATTTTAAAATCAACTTCTAAAAAATTGTTATTCATTTACTCTATCCTTACTTCCTCCTTTTCGTTTTCTTGACATTTGTATTCTGAGGTTTCTATTAAATGTATGTGGACCATCTAATACCATCCTTAATATCCCTTATACTTTCCATGTCACTCTTACTAAATTGCATTACATGGTGATTGCCTAAAATTGTTTCTCCCAATTTACTGATGCTCTCTTTGTCTATGTCTAATTTTGCTGCTCAAACAGAATATTAAATTCGTATTTTTTTTTTTTTTTTTTTTGAGACGGAGTCTCCCTCTGTCGCCCAGGCTGGAGTGCAGTGGCACGATCCAGGCTCACTGCAAGCTCTGCCTCCTGGGTTCACGCCATTCTCCTGCCTCAGCCTCCCGAGTAGCTGGGACTACAGGCGCCCGCCACCACACCCGGCTATTTTTTGTATTTTTAGTAGAGATGGGGTTTCACCATGTTAGCCAGGATGGTCTCCATCTCCTGACCTTGTGATCCGCCCGCCTCAGCCTCCCAAAGTGCTGGGATTACAGGCGTGAGCTACCGTGCCTGGCCCAGAATATTAAATTCTAATTTCTAAGAGTTAGTAATTGTTTCAAATTGCTTTATAGTAATAAATAATTAGACTTCTGTTTGTTGGGTCAAGAGCCCTCAGTCACCATAGGATATTGTCTCCTATCCTCATTTGCTTGTCATTTTAAATTGCGAGGCAGTATTTAGACAGATGTATTCTGCGGAAATTCCTATTTGCCAGGTCGAGGCTTGTATTTTCAGAGTGTCTTTTTTAATGCTTATAATAAGCATCCCAGGAATACCATCAGTTCTGGATTAACTTTTTGTTAATTTCACCCAAGTGGCTACCAGACCAGGTAAGTAGTGTAAATGACAACCCCAAACACACAATAGGCACAAAGCCATAGTTTTTATATCCTTAAGATAAGCATTTTATTTTTTTCTCTAAGCAATCTGTTGAGAGCCGAGTTTGGAAATATATACACGTTTAAAAAATTTATTTCTACTTCCTATTTTTGTTTAATATGGAAGATGATTCAAGGGTAAACCTTCATATTCAGCTTGAAATTCATCATAAAGACCCAAAGTCTTGCACTTAAGTGGGCATTAAAGCCCACTTAACCAAGCCTCTAGGTTACAAAGATGAATATTTCCTCTCAGCTCCTCACTAAAGGAAGCCCAACATCAACTTTCCCACTTACCATCTTGCATGGCTTTTATCAATGGGAACATATTTGCTCTGTCTCAAAGTCTTTTCTGAACTGAAAACAGTATTTTGTGTAAAAAGACTGCGTTTATAAAAGTTTATAATAGGCATTATTTTCGTGTTAGTCTTCCACATCTCCAAAAATAGAGGTTATAATTTAATCAAGAAACATTTTTGCAAATTTTACTTTTGTCAACTGTGCTGGAAGGGCCTACTACTATAATTAAAAATATGCATCATGAATTCAGTAAAATTTCTAAAAAAGGGACAAGCAAGGAATTTCTTCTCTTTTTATTACTGAAATTACCCCAAAGTAGAGTGGCTGAAACTACAAGGATTACTGATAGATATAAAATCATTCCAAAAGAAATAAAAATACCATTATCCTACTCTTAATTCCTACAATACACAAGTCATAAAAAATCAGACTCCAAGTTTTTGGTGCTTAACTGTTGGGAGCTTTTAAGCCTCCTCCCTCCCATATTTTGCTTCTTCCTGACATCTGGTCAAACGGATAAGAAAGCTATGATGTTCTCTCGTTTAGCATCAGCTGGAAGTTCAAATAATACAAAAAAAATACTTCACCTTGGCCGCACTTTTTCATATCTATAGAAAATTTATTCTCCTTTCCCTACTCTCTCAAACCTTTTGGAAGTGTTTGGAAGCCTTCCTGCTCTCCCCAGAAAGCCTCGTTATGTAAGTGATGAGCGTTTTCAAATCCTTTCGTGTGTTTTGTATGGTATCGTGACATCAAAACCCAATCTGGGGTAGAAGTCTATATAGTTTCTGTGGGGTGGCTGCAAAACAGCAGAATATTTATTTGGTAAAACACAGTTTATAAGATGTAAATGATTTTTAGAGCATTATTTCAATTACTATGAGTCTATGTTTTTACAAAAAAAAAATCAAGAGCTACTGTTTAAAACATATTTAAATAAAAAATGAAAGACCCGCTTGCATATTTTGCACAATGAAGAAATGTATTAAAGAATAGAAATATTAAAAGGTATTTTGTTATAATTTTGAAGTTCACATGACATTTCAAGTTTTTTTTTACATAACAAAGGTATTTTTTGTCTATAGTATTTGGCGGCCACTAAATGGGAAACAGAATAATGATAGTGAAGACAAGGAAATATAATATGATTTTCTCTACCTTTGAATTTGGATATGTACACTGTTCCTATGTTTAATATGACTTCTCTCCACATATATTAATAATGTTCCAAAGTTTTTATCTTCCCTCAAACCTATTTCTCTTTTGTTGAGGAAAGGATAAATAAAGCTGTTAATTCTGCCTGTGAGAGAGAGAAGGATGGGGGGGAGATTTTATGGAATTGGCTTATGTGAATGTGGGGGCTGCTAAATCCAAGATCTGTAGGGCAGTCAACAAGCTGGAAACCAAGAAAGGAGGTGACGCTGCAGTCGTGAGTCTGAAATTCAATGAATCGATCAGGCTGAAACCTCTGGCAGCATTTGATGCCTCAGCCTTGAGGTAGACCACCTTCTCTGGGAAACCCATTTTTGCTCTTAAAGCCTTTAAATGATTGGATGAGGGCTACACACATTATCAATGGTAATCTTCTTTACTTAAAGTCAACTGATTGTATATCTTAACCATACCAGACCAACAAAATACCTTTGCAGCAACACATGATTAATTATTGATTACACAATCAGTACCATTACTAGTACAACCTAGACAAGTTGACACATAAACCATCACAGATGGACTAAGATTAGGTACTACATAATTATGAAATTGTACGTACACTACTTTAAGAGCCATTGAGTTTTAACTTCTTGAGTAAAGTAATGCAAAGCAAAGTAACTGTGGTTTTTATCTTTTCCCTTTGTTTTTAAAATCTTACTGAACTTTAAAGGTCACCTAGAAACTGTTAAATATATCAAGTATGGGCAAGAATATGAAGCAGAAGGGATGCTGTACACTGCTGGTGGGAATGTAAAATGCTATAATGATTTTGGAAAACAATTTAATATTATCTGACACATTTGAAAATGTGCAAATCCATGATATAGCAATTTTCACCTCTAGAGAATCCTTGCATATATATACTGTTTTATATCATTATGTTGGGAGACAAAAGGAATTACAGCAAATATAAATGAAAAAATAGATATACTTATATAATAAAATACTTACATACTTATGTAATAAAATACTATGCAATATGAAGTTGAATGTTCTATAGTTTCCTGCATTGATGTGGCTGAACTCCACCACCAGATTATTTGCAGAATGAACCCATTTAAACAAAATTTCTTCAAAATTACACATAAGAGTGAAATAAATACCTCAAGGAATTAAAAAAATAAGAATAATAATTACATCTAAAAGAGAGGATTATAATTCAATTGAGAAATAGTATATAGAAAGTGTAAAATGTATTGATTTTCTATCTTAAACCTGAGTTTGAGTATATGTTTGCTTAATTTGTGATCCTTATTATGTATATTACATATTATTATTATATCCTTTTGGGTAAAGTTAATATATTTCATAATAGTAATCATCAAACATTTAGCATTTAAGTTTATTTTACAAAAGCTTTTTCTTTCTTTTCATCATTATTCTTTAAGTTCTGGGGTACATGTGCAGAACGTGCAGGTTTGTTACATAGGTATGCACGTGCCATGGTAGTTTGCTGCAACCATCAACCCATCATCTACATTAGGTATTTCTCCTAATGCTATCCCTCCCCTAGTCCCCCACCCCTCGACAGGCCCCGGTGTGTGATGTTCCCCTCCCTGTGTCCATGTGTTCTCATTGATCAACTCCCATTTATGAGTGAGAACATGCGGTGTTTGGTTTTCTGTTCTTGTGTTAGTTTGCTGAGAATGATGGTTTCCAGCTTCATCTGTGTCTCTGCAAAGGACATGAACTCATCCCGTTTTATGGCTGCATAGTATTCCTTGATGTATATATGGCACATTTTCTTTATCCAGTCTACCATTGATGAGCGTTTGAGTTGGTTCCAAGTCTTTGCTATTGTGAATAGTGCCACAATAAACATACGTGTGCATGTGTCTTTATAGCAGCATGATTTATAATCCTTTGGATATATACCCAGTAATGGGATTGCTGGGTCAAATGGTATTTCTGGTTCTAGATCCTTGAGGAATCGCCACACTGTCTTCCACAATGGTTGAACTGATTTACACTCCCATCAACAGTGTAAAAGGGTTCCTATTTCCCCACATCATCTCCAGTGTCTGTTGTTTTCTGACTTTATAATGATTGCCATTCTTTTTTTTTTTTTTTTTTTGAGATGGAGTCTCGCTCTGTGGCCCAGGCTGGAGTGCAGTGGCGCAATCTCGGCTCACTGCAAGCTCCGCCTCCCGGGTTCACGCCATTCTCCTGCCTCAGCCTCCCGAGTAGCTGGGACTACAGGCGCCCGCCATCACGCCCGGCTAATGTTTTTTGTATTTTTAGTAGAGACGGGGTTTCACCGTGTTAGCCAGGATGGTCTCGATCTCCTGACCTCGTGATCCGCCCGCCTCGGCCTCCCAAAGTGCTGGGATTACAAGCATGAGCCACCGCGCCCGGCCTAATGATTGCCATTCTAACTGGTGTGAGATGTTATCTCATTGTGGTTTTGATTTGCATTTCTCTAATGACCAGTGATGATGAGCTTTTTTTCATATGTTTGTTGGCTGCAAAAATGTCTTATTTTGAGAATTGTGTGTTCATATCCTTTGCCTACTTTTTGATGGGGTTGTTTTTTTCTTGTAAATTTGTTTAAGTTATTTGTAGATTCTGGATATTAGCCCTTTGTCAGATGGATAGATTGCAAAAATTTTCTCCCATTCTGTAAGTTGCCTAGTAACTCTGATGATAGTTTCTTTTGCTGTGCAGAAGCTCTTTAGTTTAATTAGATTCCATTTGTCAATTTTGGCTTTTGTTGTCATTACTTTTGGTGTTTTAGTCATGAAGTCTTTGCCCATGCCTATGTCCTGAATGGTATTGCCTAGATTTTCTTGTAGGGTTTTTATGGTTTTAGGCTTTTTCAAGATATGTAAGATGCTAAAGTAGATTTTGACTGAAAAGGGCTAAACAAAATTATATAGAGCAACATAATTCTAATTAGGTTAGATATTTACATAATTGTGGCATGCATATGGGAATAATATTATAGTCATTATGTTGGAATTTTCAGTGATTATCTTTCAAGGATATGATGATAGATGGCATTTATATATTTTATTTTCTGCAATTTCAGTTTCTTTTGAATGCATCCTTGCACATATTACTGTTTATACATTTTTAGACTATTAATCCGTATATCATACCCAATTAAATCTCATATATAAGACATAATAATAGAGGGAGCTTCTTTCATAAACTACATGTTTAAATCTTAATAGACTAAAAGATACTACTCCAGTATACAGTTATGTGCTGCTTAATGACAGAGATATATTCTGAGAAATGTATCATTAGGCAATTTCATCATCATGGAAATATCATAGAATTTACTTATGTGAACTTAGATGGTATAGCCCACTACATACCTAGGCTATGTGTTACAGCCTATTGCTCCTAGGCTACAAACCTGTACAGCATGTTACTGTACTGAATACTGCAGACAATACTGTAATACAATGGTAAGTACTTGTGTATATAAACATACCTAAACATAGAAAAGGCACAGCAAAATAAGATTAAAAATTGCACACCTGTATAGAACACTCACCATGAATGGAGCTTGCAGTTCCTGAAGTTGCTCTGGGTGTCAGGAATGAATGATAAGTAAATGTGAAGGCCTGAGACATTACTGTACATGATGTAGACTTTATAAACACTGTACACTTATGGGACATTCAATTTGTAAACAGAAACAAAAAAAATTAAATGTATAAAAAATAAAGTAATTGTGCTATGACATCACTGGATTATAGGATTTTTCAGCTTCATTATAATCTTATGGGACCACTGTCCTATATGCGGACCTTGTTGACCAAAATATTGTTATGCCATGCATGACTGCATTTACATGAAATGATTTTCAAAGAACTGATTTACATAAAAGACTACATACAATTCTTTAGTGTGGTCTATATTATGTGAGGAATCAATTTGAACATTATTAGAATTAATTACACTCATGCTATCTACTCTATATTTTTCCCCATTCAAATACTTAATACTCTAATGATCACAATTAGATCAGTGAATGCAGAGGTGAACAATGCTAGAGACCAAACTGCTTTACAACCTAGCTTGTGACATACTATAATAAACTCAAATCATGCTTGATGAATAAGAAAGATGAGTGATACCCTTACAGTCCTTTTTCAGAGAAAATTTTAAATGCTTACTTTGTTAGAGATGAAAAAATAGTCAAATGAGAATTTAATGGACGTACTGTAAAACCAAGTGGCCTGTTTTAGTATAGATTTTATTACATTTTATGGAACTAGGAGTAAAGACAACAGCCTGCAATTTAACTATTTGTTTTAAATATCATAAACTTGCATAGATTTTCTTTTCTTTTCTTGTCTTTTTTTTTTTTTTTTTTTGAGATGGAGTCTCGCTTTGTTGCCAGTCTGGAGTGCAGTGGTGCGATCTCAGCTCACTGCAACTTCTGCTCCCGGGTTCAAGCGAATCTCCTGCCTCAGCCTGTAGCTGAGACTACAGGCATACCCCACCACACCTGGTTTTTTTTTTTTTTTTTTTTTTTTTTAGTAGAGGTGGGGTTTCACCATGTTGGCCAGGATGTTCTCAATCTCTTGACCTTGTGATCTGCCTGCCTCAGCCTCCTGAAGTGCTGGGATTACAGGGGTGTGCCACCACACCCAGCCAACTTACATAAATTTTCTAACAGCCAAGTCTTCAGAAAATATTCTACCACCAGGTTGAGGGGCATATGCAATGTTTTGCTAATTCTTTTAAAGCAAGTAGCTGTATTTTGAGATAGTTTATAAAAGACCAGAAATGCCTAAACAATAATGTAAGATAAATTATTCAAAGTTCGTTGAAGGCAAAAAAAAAAACTGTGTAATAAAATTAATTCTGATGAGCCTACAGTTACATCATTTGAGTATTGAGACTGAGGTGACTAATTTTGAGTGCAGACTTTTAAATATATTTAAGAAATTTTAGTTATATTTTATTCATTAAGGCATATAAATTGTCAGTTGCTATTTTGAGAAAGTTATCACAACTTTATCTGTTTCTATCACGAGTTATGTGGTAGCAGACAAAAGTATATTTTTACTTATGAATATAGAATAATTTTATGCTTATTCTCTGTCAAGTCTAACAATATAATCCTATATAAAATATAAAATATAGGGATCTTATAAAGAACATATTCTAGAAATAAATATAAATAAATAATATGATACATTCCTTTCATAAAATGCTTTTAAATATATGCTTATCTGTATTTTAGAAATATATATCTTCACACAGTCCAGGCTCAACCTAAAATATTAAATAAAGTCAAATATGGGCAGGCTTATCTGGATAAGAATATATAATATTTAAAAAAATAAATTGATTTATTTAGCAGACCAAATTTTAGAAGCTATAGTTCTACTTTACCAACAAGAAAAAATGTTAGAGGGAAATATTTCATTAAAAACTGCAGAAGGTAGATATCATTTCAGGATTGATTCTGATACTGGAAAAAAACAAAACCTCTTTTTTTAAGCCAAAAATACTGCTTCTAAACACTTTAATAACTTGGTGTATTTTAATAGAGTAAGAGGAGAAAATATTTCTGTGAAATTATCAATAAAATATCTACTAGTTCAAATGGTGTAAAATGTTATATGAAAAGTTTACCCAATAAATATACTAATTCAAGATTAATTCAAGATAGTCTAGAATGTATCCTAGCTTAAACTTTACACCATTGTATTTTAGTATTATAAAACTCATTTATAGTGATAGATTGAATTAACACCTATGTTGTTTTTATTTTAAAACACTATATTTTATTCTCCTCTTTCTCTAAATAACAAAACCAGGGGAAACAAAATGAGGTTTCTTATTTCCCAAATCATTAGTTTGTATTTATTCAGTGACAACAGTAGAAAAAATAATGTTGAAGTCCAAAGGAAATTAACTGCCTTTGGGACAAGTTCCAGATTTTAGTGATGAGAAGTTTTTAATAATCATTTTAGTATTTTATTCAACAAAGATATACCGAGCACACCAAAAATCCACACTAATTCTGAGTATGCGTAAGTGGATAAAACATAGTCCTAAACAATAGGAAGTTTAAGGGCAAGTAATGAAGATAAAATGTAGAAATGTGTTGGGTTTGAATTGCCAGTTGTTAAAAGATTGTTCATTACGTGTTTCTCACATCATTTTTTTTTAACTTTTATATTCCAAGGGACACTTTTATTCTCCCAGTGAACATTAAAGTTGAAACAAACATTCAATGGATACCTCAATTTAATAAGGAAATGGAGTTATTCTTAGCAGCATTTTACCCTCTAAAACCTAGAGAAGGAGTGAGAGAAGATGGTAGCAATTAGAAATAAAAATGGGCCACGCACCTGTAATCCCAGCACTTTGGAAGGCTGAGGGGGAAGAATCGCTTGATGTCAGAAGTTAGAAACAAGTCTGGTAAACATACTGAGACTCCATCTCTGTCAAAAAATAAAACAAAATTAACCGGGCCAGTGGTATACGCATGTAGGCATGTACCAGCTACTCAGAAGGCTGAAGCAGAGGATCACTTGAGCCCAGAAGTTTGAGAGTGCAGTGGGCTATGATCGTACTCTGTACTCCAGCCTGGGCAACAGAGTAAGACCTTCTCTCAAAAAACAAAAACAAACAAATATATGTGTGTGTGTGTGTGTGTGTGTGTATACACATATATACTTACATATATACATATATACTTACATATATACATACATATGTACATACATACACATATAGACATACACATATATACATATGTACATACATAAATATATACATACATACACATATATACGTATATGTATACATACATATATACACACGTATATGTACATATGTATATATACATATACATATATACACATATATGCTTCCAAATATACATATATATATACACACACACATATATATTTGGATGGACAGTCATGAAGTACGAAAACTGGGAGAGAGGAGAGATCATCTGGATATAGAGAAGAGGAAAGCGAGGGCAATAGTCTTGGGATTTCACAGCGGTTAATCTTCTATTCACTATTCTTGATCATTTGCAAATCCCAACTTAGACAATATCATAGGCCACAGATGCCCTGTATGGGGATTGTGAGCAGAAAGAGAGAACCTAGGCCCCTAAGCAGATTAGACGATATTCAGTGGCGGAAGTTGCTTTGTGAGCTGAGAGACTGATAGTCATACCACCCTTGTTTTCCTACAGGTGTGTTACAGTGATTTGCCCAGTGATAAAATAGAGGCATGTGTGAGGAACTCAACTGAAGCAAAGATGTGAGTGGTTACTCCTACCTGATAGAGATGAAGGATGTCAGGGATGACTTAACAAAAGAAAATGCTTTCACTGTATTTTATGAATCGTTTGAGAAATGTTTATTTTAAAAGGAACTATTTTACTAAGGCATGGGGATTGGGTAACGAATTACATCAGGTAGTGCAGGATCCTGGGGCTAGTAAAAGCAGGATTGTGTAAACTTTCTGAAAGGGATAAGAGGAGAGAGAAACGGCTAAAACTCAGAAGAGGGAAATTATGAAGTGGCTACTTGAATAAGACCAGTGACTTCTACAGAAGGGATCACAGAAAGGAAAACTCCATACCTATTGTCAGGCCTCTCCCTGACCACATTCAATGAAAAGATCGAAGTTAGAGAAGACAGCTAGGGTGTTCATAGAGGTCGACCTTCTGAAATAACATGGCAGAGAAAAGTGGACACTGGCTCTTTAGGGGCAAATAAAAAAACATCTATGCCAACCTCCTGTTTTTATTGGGCTGGATTTTAAAGGAATCTGAATCTCAGGTAGACTCAGCTTTCATCAGGATAATGATGAGCTTAACTGTGGAACTGGACATATAAGATTATGAAATCATGAAAATGTATTCTATTCTCTGTAAATTGTATGTTTTAGGTGCTTTCAAGCATAGGGATTATACTTAAAAGCTGAGGCTCTCCGCTCAGCCTTCCAAAGTGCTGGGATTACAGGTGCTAGTATAAGGATTAAGTATAAGAATTAGATGGGAATATATATTTTTTGAGGGAAGGCATAATACTTATCATTAAGCCTGAGCCTATACAGGTGTGCACTACCACCCTGTCCGTCTCCTCTGCAAACACATATGCTCTACTGTCCCATTAGCTATCATTTATAAAACACAAATTCCAAGGTGAGACAATAAAGAATTCTAGTTGGGATAGCAGAGCATTAAGCCAAGTACAGGGTCCCTTTTGAGGGTGAGGCCCTACATAAGTTTACAGATTGCAAACCTGTGAAGCTGGCCCTGACAGTATGTGACAGTGTCTGAGTCTGACAAGGAAAAAAGTAGGTCTTAGAAATCTGTGTATATTCTCCAACTAAAACCTCATGTTTGGGGGTGTGGGAAAAGTGCAGCAAGGATTCAAAGAACTGGAGGTCTCAAGTAAGCTGAAGAACAGGCTCATAAGGGTCTGGCGAAAAGAAAAACCTAAACTGATTAAACTTTGTAGTATTTGACTACAGTTCCTATGTGAGTCAGATTTAGATGTCATTATTTCAAAGAGAGTGTAGTAGAAGGTGAAGTCAAAAAATGATCTGTGACTAGAGGCAACGGAGGGAAATACAGCATAATGACCACTGGTATTCAAGAGATGTGTGCAGTTGAGGAGGTTGGAGGACTGAGGAGGAGGTGAAGAAATGATCGCTGAGATCAAGGAGACTTGCAGAAGGGGTTACCATCAAGGTTTCTGGACTGACCTAGCTGGGAACTGGTTTAGGAATAGCAAATAAGACAACAATTCAGGAGCCACATTTCTTTATAAATTCAGGAGTAGGTCCAGCTTTCAAATTCAGGTTGAGGAAAAAGATCTCACGACCTACTGAAAAAAAATTTGTATAAGATTATAAATGATTAAATACAGCTACTAGGATGTAAATAAAACCTCTTGATTCTATGATCTGGGAGATCTGGGACAATTATTAGCCTATATTATGAAGGACAACTAGAGGTGTAGTATCTTGGACAGATTCCAAATTTTAATTATGGCCACGAGGTGAAGTGCAAGTGTTTTGAAAGAGTTGCAGGTTTACTAAAGTTTAATAATAAGTGCTGTATCTTGAAATACCCTACCTATCATTTAGAACCTGTGCTATGAAAAGTTTTTCTTTCGTCTCATTTTATCACCATGAAAACTTACTTTTTCATCTCTGTGGTGAAAAAATACTACCATGCTCCATGATCTCACATCCTGGTTTCCACACCTTTGGTGATCCCTTCTCTTTGAGTGAGGGCAGAGTAAGGATTTTGCTTTAGATATAGTACAGCGAAGGTGATGGGATGTCATTTCTGTGATAATGTTACATACAATTGTAAGCAATATTTCTGAGGAGATTTACTCTCCCCTGTTGGCCTTTGGGAAGCTAAAAGTCATCTCGGGGTGGCTCACATGGCAAGAACCTGAGGGCAGACTCTAGGCAACTGCTCAACTGCAAAAAAACTAAGGCCCTAAACCAAAGAGCCCACAAGGAAATGAATGATGCTGACCACATTGTGAACTTAGAATTGGAATCTTCCCTGGTCGAGCCTCAGATGAAAATGAAGCTCTCACCAATATCTTGATTGCAGCTTTCTGACACTCTGCAGCAAAGGACCCAGCTATGTCATGCCCTGACTCCTGACCCACAGAAACTGTGAGGCAATAACTTTGTATTTTTTTAACATGCTAAGTCCATGGTAACACTGCTAAGGGAAAATAGGCAATAATGACAATCTCAGAATCTCATTTTCCTAAATTATATGTTTGGCAAAAGTCTATTTTTTCACATTAAACTGTTTGCAGAGATAAAGAGGAATACTTGAGTATTTGTTGATTTAGTCATTGAAAATAAAGTATATCTGGAAATGAAGACATTTTCTTGTCTTACATAATCTAGGTACATTAAATATTATAAATGCTTGGCCCACAGAAAGTACCAGATGGGAATCAAACCAGAGATTGCCCCATCAGTCAACTTGAAATGACAAAAATAAACATATGTTTTAGTCACATATTTAAATGTCTTGCCTGCCTCACCAAGATAATTTGAAACTAAAATAAAATTTTTATAACAACTACATATTAAATAGACAAAAATTTTGTGCTTGCTATTTCAATCATTGTAGGAACAAAGATAAAAACATTACACAAAGATTAATCAGCTTGATGAATCCTCTGCTTTGAATGGATATCTCTGCTTTGACATTAATAGGACAATTCATAAATGCCACGCACATGTCCTAATTCATTGATCTATTATTTAGAAAATAATTTTATATTTCAATAGATGTAAAATCAATCTATTCTTAAAGAATAACTTAGGGTGAATACAATCTGAAAAAAAGCTCTGAAGTTAATTTTTAGTTGTATTTGTAGCTAAGTATAATTATGTTCAGCCATTTCTTCATCTATTGTGCTTATTAATATGTTTTCGGAACATAGCTATTAACTGTTTTCAGATATTTTTTCACTTGGTGTAACTACAGAGATGTCATATGTAATTTGATAAGTCTAATTTTAAAACATACCATGTACAATGATTAATAGATCATTGAAATATTTAAGTAAAATAAAGAGTATGTATAAATGAGTGGCATTTGTTAAAAAGGAGTTTTTTCTTAACTATAAGTAACACGAAAACTTTGACAAATTGTACATAATCTTCTTTCAGATAGCTTCAGAAGAGAAAATAAAAAGATGAAGAAATAAAATATTAGAAATGTCAAGCTTGTCCGAAAATATTAACTGTGCACCCAGTGTTTCTGGCATAGAAGAGAGGGTTCAACTTTTGCCTAGGAAGGAGAAAATAAAAGCCATCCCAAGAAAGATGGGTATTAGATCCTGGAATTAGTTGGCGATGATCACATGCAACTCTTGTTCAGCAAAGAGGGGACAAGATGTAACTCACCACAAGTGAAGCAGGTTGCACAAAGAAAAAAAAATGTAATGCATATGGTTGAATTTGGGCATATTTTGTACAGTAGAAGTTAAGTGGATTATTCTTTCTTTTGATGCTCTCCTATACTCGTATCTATTACCCGAGAGGCATGGAAAGTAGAGATGTAACAATGAACATTACTTATGAAATCTCTCCCTTTGTGTAGACTACAGTAGAGAAAGGAGATACAAATTTCAACAAGTAATGGCAATGAAGAATAATGCATATTAGAAAAGTGGAAATGGAGAGATCTATAGAAATAGAATACATGGACCGGGCGCAGTGGCTCACACCTGTAATCCCAGCACTTTGGGAGGCTGAGGGGGGCGGATAACCTGAGGTCAGGAGTTCGAGACTAGCCTGGCCAACATGGTGAAACCCCATCTCTACTAAAAATACAAAAATTAGCCGGGCATGGTGGTGGGCACCTGTAGTCCATGCTACTCAGGAGACTGAGTAAGGAGAATCGCTTGAACCTGGGAGATACAGTTTGCAGTGAGCTGAGATCATGCTGCTGCACTCCAGCTTGGGTGACAGAAGGAGACTCCGTCTCAAAAAAAAAAAAAAAATAAATAAATAATAAAAATAAAAAAACATGAAAACATACTACCGGTGAAAGAGAGCCTCTAAGGGGAAAATACATGTAAACTGCTACTTGAAAGAGAAAGAAGAAATTAAGTGGGTTATAGCATTAGAAGAAAAATTAATTATGTTCTAGGTTTGAAAAAAAAGAAGGCAAATTGTGAAATGTGTTAAAAGACTTGAAGAAAGTACTGTGTGGCTAGAGCTTAGGGCAGAAAGGGCAATGGCAATACCACCATTATGAATGCAGCGATTTTACTTGGTTCTTACCAGAACCAGAATTTGTATAGCATAAAATCAGCTTTATTTTCGGGGCCAGGCTTCAGCAAGTAAACTTTTTTCCTCTCTTACTAATATTACTTGAAAGCTATTTCCTTATTTGAAAATTTGCTTAAATTATAAAACTTGAACGAGGTTGATTTTTACTTCTTTGTGAAAAGTGGTTCTGTTATTATCACCAATGAACAGAAGAAAGAATTGAGGCACCGGAAGTTAATCAACTTTCCAGAGGAATCCTGACAGATTCAAACCAAGGGCTAGTCCGTAAAGCTTACAGGTCTATTTCTTCCTAGACTGCCAAATTTCTTCCTGCATCTCTATAATATATCTAGCTAGATTTCTTCAATGCAGAGAGCTTCCCTAATCAATGAGACTGAAAAGGCAAATGGGAATATTTCAGCAAGCATCCCAGTAAAGATCAATTTTTCAGTCTTGACATGAACCATAGAGGAAAGTATCTACTTTTCTTGGATGACTAAGCCAATTTAGCTACCATTGAGTAAAACCATTTACTTGCTGCCCTGCAAAAGAAGATAATTTAACATATTAAGTTTCCAACCACTTTTAGCATTGATTAGGTATGACCCATGACAACAAATTGGGAACATTTTAGCTAATACAGCTATGGCAGAGCCTTCATTATTAGCCTGAGTCCCAGAATGAACTCATTTGGTCCAATCTAACCCACACTTTAAGTCAGTGGGAGGTAAATTTCTGTGTGTCTATCCACTGATATTTGGGTAGAGGATTTTCTCTAACAGCAGCAAACTCATATAAAAAACCAGCATATCTTTATGTATTTGCCACATACATAGGAAAGAAGTAGATATGATTAGTGATTCCTGAGGAAAACCCTTCCATAACAACTTGAATCATTTATTTTCTTCTGTCTTCTCAACATTACTACTTAGAACAGCACACTTTTCAAATTAAAATTCTCTAACTCACATCTAAATTGATCTCCCTATACCTCTCAATAGCCTCTCCTTAGGGTGATCTCTAGATAACGAAAATGCTATTACTAGTCGTAATATTTCTGTTCAGGTTTCCAAATGTATTTTATTCATATTAGAAATGTATTATATAATGAAGCTCCTTTTGTCTCACTTTCCGTATCTAATCATCAAATTATTCAAAGTGTGGTTTTAGTCATTAAGATATACAATGTAGAAAATTTGTCAGAATCATGAATGTACTTTAGTAAAAAATTATGTTTCTCACATTATTTACTACTTAAAATTGTTTAAAAATGATATTATTTGAAAGATCATATATTTTCTTCAAATTCATCA
The DNA here is from genome assembly GCF_000001405.40 of Homo sapiens. NCBI lineage: Eukaryota > Metazoa > Chordata > Mammalia > Primates > Hominidae > Homo > Homo sapiens. Next base: position 22,817,370 of record NC_000005.10, read on the forward strand.
GAGACACTGATAGCATCAAACTAAAAATTTCAATAATTTGACTTACAAATATTTAAATTACATGAAAAGGTAATTAAAACATCTGTTGATTATAAAAATATAGATGGCAAATAATTGCCAGTTAAATTTTAATGTAGTTTGTTGTATATAATTGTGTATTTATAACTGATAATTATAGTTATACACATATTCATTTAATTTCTATACTGAGTTATATTGATTTAATTACTTGGCTGATTTATCTTTGACTCTATTCAAAAATCTATCCAATCTTGACTTTTAAATTTGTTCATTGGGAAGAACAGAAAAACTATGCATCATAATTTCAATATAATTCCTTATTTCTATTCAGGCCAATAATTATTTGACTAATAGGCAAGAGCTGTTAAAAGTAAATGGCTTGATGCCTTTAAGAATCCCCAATGCATTCTGTAGGGAGGCAATACTGGCAATACAACTCTTTTTCTTTCAAAGAAGAATTGTAAAGTATAAATTTGGTATTCTCAAATTTTTGGATTGTTCATCTGAATTTTATTTTAGGCATGCCGTTAGTTATATTCCAAGTAAACCCTAAAATAGATTTTGTGGACCATGAAAAGTGAAAAGTATTGGAGAATAAAAAGTGGAAGGGTTGTGTAGTGTGTGGGTCGTACTTAAAAATAGAATATAAAAATCAAACTGCAGCAAAGCATGGCATACATTCAACAATGCCTTGTAAAGATCAGGAAGCCAGACCAGAATCAAGGGCCTTCTGCAAATACCAGTTCGTCCTGTCCAACATGGTTGATTTTCAAATAGAGTAGTCATTGCTGTCTTGGTGAGGCTTTAAGTACACACTGCAAAGGAAGCCATACAAGACACTACAAAGTCCAGACCTGGCATCTCTTCCTCATTATCTCACATCCTAGACAGCTCTACTTTTCTGTCAGATTTTGCTCTATCATGCTTTTCCCTACCAAATGGTTTCATTTGTTTCACATGGTGTATTATACATCACAGCTTTCCCTCCACCCACTATCTCTGCCATTCATTCATTCTCATCTTCCTCCATCCCTTTCACTTGCCTCCAAGAAATTTTCTTATAAAACAGTGTGCTTATTTTCCCTAGGTTTTATATGTATGTATGTGTGTTTGTGTGCAAATAGTCTGTTTGTTTATTCTTCAAGATGGTGGCATGAAGAGGGACAAGCAATGACATCATTTGACATAAAGGATGCTTAAAAATCTAAATATTTAAAACAATGATTCTGCTTAAGTATGTCATACTTTAACTTACAAAAATTAAGCATGTCAATGATTTTAATAGTTGGAGAGAGATTAAGCAAGGCTGACCAAGTAAGTATATCTTTCTGCCACCAGAGACTTAATCACAGGCAATAGGTAAGTGAGGTTTCAAAGTACCTTGGGGTTGTTTCTGAAATATGCCTAGAAAAGGAAATCCATTGGTTGCTTCAAAGAGCTAACATATTGCTAGTTATTTAGTTTCAGTAGTTATGTATGCATACTCTGTCAACTGGATGTAAATAATATGTGTTTTGTGTGCATACTCTGTCAACTGGATGTAAATAATATGTGTTTTGTGAGAGAAGAGTTTGGTTTCAAGGTAATTGTTTATCATCTATTTTTGTAGTATGGTAGTTCAGGAACACTGACTGACCCACTTAATAAAAATAAATTTAAAATTTTTGATTAAAAAATCTGAAAAATGAATCAGTGTGTTGGAGAAAAAGTTAAAGAACCAAAGGCCAATAACTATGTGGTATGTAAGCATAAAATCGAATTAGCATTCTCCCTGCTGCTATTGCTGACGCAGGTAAACTTAAATCTGTTTTTCATTGTCATAGGACTAAAGGAACAGGTGACAAAGTGATCCTGCTCAAGATGAAAAGTCTGACAGGCATGCCATTTTTACAACAGAGAAAACTGCAAATTAACTCAATACTTGGGACTTAGCAGTGAATAGTGTCTTGAGACATGAAGCTAAGTTAAAAATTTAAAAAAAAAGGAAAAGAAATATATCTTAAATAGGTAAACAAAGGCACCCTTCATATATATTTCTACCTAAAGTAAAGTGGGCAACTCAAAAAATCAACAATTAAGAATTTATTTAAAATATTCTGGGCTACAACTTCCATTAGACATCCAGAAAAGAAATGCAAATTTCCTTTGGAAAAAAGCTATGCAAACACAAATCTAAGAGAAATCATACATTTAATGTTGAAAGATATACAAGATCATAGATAAAAATATCAGAAATACATATACACCCACATCAGAAAATAAATGACCATAAGTGAGCTAGCACAAGAGAATAAGACATGTAACAAATGTGAAATTATCAAACGCAATACAAAATACATGCTTAATGTTTAAAAATATAAAAATGAACTCAAAATCAGAATAAATGGTCATAGAAAAAACAGAAAACCAAAATAAAATTAAGATATCCAGATACTTAAATATATATTTATATCCAGATAGAAGATATCCAGATATTTAAATATATATATTTATATCCAGATATAAGATATCTAGATATTTAAATATATATTTATATAGATGTGTGTGTATGTATGTGTGTATATATATACACATATATATACATATACATATATATACATATACATATATATACATATACATATATATACATATATATACATATACATATATATACATATACATTGAGACCTAAAAGGCAGTGGGTTTAATAGCAGTTCATACATAGCTGAACAGAAATTTCATTAAAAAAATTACTAAATTATATCCAATGCTTCACAGTAAGACCAAAAAATTAAAAATGAAAAAGGTTAAAAATAATTGGAGTTCCAGAAATTAATGGGAATAAAAAAACACAGGCAGAGACAATATTTGAAAAGTAGTGTCTTAATTTTTCAGAAATGATAAACAACACCGATATGGTTTGGTTTTGTCCCCAACCGGATCTCATCGTGAGTTCTCATGTGTTGTGGGAGGGAACCAGTGGGAGGTGATCAAATCATGGGGTCTGGTCTTTCCTGTACTGTTCTCATGATAGTGAATAAGTCTCATGAGATCTGATGGTTTTTAAAATGGGAGCTGGTTTTTTGAAAAGATCAACAAAATCGATAGACCGCTAGCAAGACTAATAAAGAAGAAAAGAGAGAGAATCAAATAGATGCAATAAAAATGATAAAGGGGATATCACCACCGATCCCACAGAAATACAAACTACCATCAGAGAATACTACAAACACCTCTACGCAAATAAACTAGAAAATCTAGAAGAAATGGATAAATTCCTCGACACATACATCCTCCCAAGACTAAACCAGGAGGAAGTTGAATCCCTGAATAGACCAATAACAGGCTCTGAAATTGTGGCAATAATCAATAACTTACCAATCAAAAAAAGTCCAGAACCAGATGAATTCACAGCCGAATTCTACCAGAGGTACAAGGAGGAACCGGTACCATTCCTTCTGAAACTATTCCAATCAATAGAAAAAGAGGGAATCCTCCCTAACTCATTTTATGAGGCCAGCATCATCCTGATACCAAAGCCTGGCAGAGACACAACCAAAAAAGAGAATTTTAGACCAATACCCTTGATGAACATTGATACAAAAATCCTCAATAAAATACTGGCAAACCGAATCCAGCAGCACATCAAAAAGCTTATCCACCATGATCAAGTGGGCTTCATCCCTGGGATGCAAGGCTGGTTCAACATACGCAAATCAATAAATGTAATCCAGCATATAAACAGAACCAAAGACAAAAACCACATGATTATCTCAATAGATGCAGAAAAGGCCTTTGACAAAATTCAACAACGCTTCATGCTAAAAACTCTCAATAAATTAGGTATTGATGGGATGTATCTCAAAATAATAAGAGCTATCTATGACAAACCCACAGCCAATATCATACTGAATAGGCAAAAACTGGGAGTATTCCCTTTGAAAACCGGCACAAGACAGGGATGCCCTCTCTCACCACTCCTATTCAACATAGTGTTGCAAGTTCTGGCCAGGGCAATCAGGCAGGAGGAAGAAATAAAGGGTATTCAATTAGGAAAAGAGGAAGTCAAATTGTCCCTGTTTGGAGATGACATGATTGTATATCTAGAAAACCCCATTGTCTCAGCCCAAAATCTCCTTTAGCTGATAAGCAACTCCAGCAAAGTCTCAGGATATAAAATCAATGTACAAAAATCACAAGCATTCTTATACACCAATAACAGACAGAGAGCCAAATCATGACTGAACTCCCATTCACAATTGCTTCAAAGAGAATAAAATACCTAGGAATCCAACTTACAAGGGATGTGAAGGACCTCTTCAAGGAGAACTACAAACCACTGCTCAATGAAATAAAAGAGGATACAAACAAATGGAAGAACATTCCATGCTCATGGGTAGGAAGAATCAATATCATGAAAATGGCCATACTGCCCAAGGTAATTTATAGATTCAATGCCATCCCCATCAAGCTACCAATGACTTTCTTCACAGAATTGGAAAAAACTACTTTAAAGTTCATATGGAACCAAAAAAGAGCCTGCATTGCCAAGTCAATCCTAAGCCAAAAGAACAAAGCTGGAGGCATCACGCTACCTGACTTCAAACTATACTACAAGGCTACAGTAACCAAAACAGTGTGGTACTGGTACCAAAACAGAGATATAGATCAATGGAACAGAACAGAGACCTCAGAAATAATGCTGCATATCTACAACTATCTGATCTTTGACAAATCTGACAAAAACAAGCAATGGGGAAAGGATTCCCTATTTAATAAATGGTGCTGGGAAAACTGGCTAGCCATATGTAGAAAGCTGAAACTGGATCCCTTCCTTACACCTTATACAAAAATTAATTCAAGATGGATTAAAGACTTACCTGTTAAACCTAAAACCATAAAAATCCTAGAAGAAAACCTAGGCAATACCATTCAGGACATAGGCATGGGCAAGGACTTCATGTCTAAAACACCAAAAGCAATGGCAACAAAAGCCAAAATTGACAAATGGGATCTAATTAAACTAAAGAGCTTCTGCACAGCAAAAGAAACTACCATCAGAGTGAACAGGCAACCTACAGAATGGGAGAAAATTTTCGCAACCTACTCATCTGACAAAGGGCTAATATCCAGAATCTACAATGAATTCAAAGAAATTTACAAGAAAAAAACAAACAACCCCATCAAAAAGTGGGCAAAGGATATGAACAGACATTTCTCAAAAGAAGACATTTATGCAGCCAAAAAACACATGAAAAAATGCTCATCATCACTTGCTATCAGAGAAATGTAAATCAAAACCACAATGAGATACCATCTCACACCAGTCAGAATGGCAATCATTAAAAAGTCAGGAAACAACAGGTGCTGGAGAGGATGTGGAGAAATAGGAACACTTTTACACAGTTTGTGGGACTGTGAAGTAGTTCAACCATTGTGGAAGTCAGTGTCGCCATTTCTCAGGGATCTAGAACTGGAAATACCATTTGACCCAGCCATCCGATTCCTGGGTATATACCCAAAGAATTATAAATCATGCTGCTATAAAGATACATGCACATGTATGTTTATTGCAGCACTATTCACAATAGCAAAGACTTGGAACCAACCCAAATGTCCAACAAGGATAGACTGGATTAAGAAAATGTGGCACATATACACAATGGAATACTATGCAGCCATAAAAAATGAAGAGTTCATGTCCTTTGTAGGGACATGGATGAAATTGGAAACCATCATTCTCAGCAAACTATCGCAAGGACAAAAAACCAAACACCGCATGTTCTCACTCATAGGTGGGAATTGAACAATGAGAACACTTGGACACAGGAAGGGGAACATCACACTCCGGGGACTGTTGTGAGGTGGGGGGAGGGGGGAGGGATAGCATTAGGAGTTACACCTAATGCTAAATGACGAGTTAATGGGTGCAGCGCACCAGCATGGCACATGTATACATATGTAACAAACCTGCACATTGTGCACATCTATCCTAAAACTTAAAGTATAATAATAATTTTTAAAAAAATGGGAGTTGCCATGCACAATCTCTCTCTTTGCCTGCTGCCACTCATGTAAGACCTCACTTGCTCCTCCATCATGATTGTGAGGCCTCCCCAGCCATTTGGAACTGTAAGTTCATTAAACATCTTTCCTTTGTAAATTGCCCAGTCTTGGGTATGTCTTCATTAGCCGCATGAAAACATACTAATACAAATCCTGATATGGTTAGGCTGTGTGTCGCCAACCAAATCTCTTCTCAAATTGTAATCCCCAAGTGTTGAGAAAGGGACCTGGCAGGAGGTGATTGGATCATGGGGGCAGTTTCCCCCATGCTGTTCTCATGATAATAGGGGGAGTTCTCAGGAGATCTGATGGTTTTATAAATGGCAGTTTCCCCAGGGCTTTTTGCTCTCTCTTTGCCATGTAAGACATGCCTGCTTCCCTTTCTGCCATGATTGTAAGTTTTCTGATGCTTCCCCAGCCTTGCAGAACTGTGCATCAATTAAATCTCTTTTCTTTATAAACTACCCAGTCTCAGGAAGTTCTTTATAGCAGTGTGAGAACAAATTAATACAAATACTAACTCAAATAACCCAAAGGTGACATAAATCTCAATCAAAATAAATGGAAACCAATGCAAATAAATTCATATAATAATGATAAAGAGATAATAACTCCAAGAACATAAATATATCCCTTGAAAGAGATTGTAATTAGACTTACATCTGACTAATCATAGCATCAATGGAAACTAGAAGACAATGGACTAATATTTTCAATTCATGTAGAGAAAATGGTCAACTAAAGATTGTATACAAAGCAAAAATATTCTTTACCAGTAGTAATGGTGAAACAAAGATATTTTCAAGCACACAGAAACTGAGTGTGTAACTGTCAAACCCTCCCAAATATAATTCTCAAGCATATATTTAAGATGAAAAATGGATGATCCAGATGAAATATTTTACATACAAGAAAAAATTATTAGCAATTAAGTTTGCAAATATGGGGGAAATTTCTCACAAAATTTGTATATGAAAAGCATACACATACAAATGAGTAAGCATGTGAAAGTGTTTTTATAAATGTAAATAACATATAAATAAATAAAAATCCAATATGATCAGTAGTGAGGTTGTCTAAAAACCTTGTATTTCTCAGGAGGAGGATAAACATATAGAATGTCTTTAGACATTCATAAATGTGCATGATAAATTACCAACATAAGCATTAAATAGTCAGGGATTTTTAAAAATTCTAAAGTACAGCAACCAAATCTATCTTAAAAGAAATAAATAAAAAGTAAAGAAGTAGACATGAATAAACTTTGCAAATATTTAATAAATAAAAATTACAAAATAAGATAGAGAAAAAAATTCAAATATGTCAGCAGTTACAGTCTAAGATTGTCAGATTGTATTTTAAACAACATAACAACAATAGCATTAGTTTATGTTTACAAGATGCATATCCAAAATTAATATATATGTGTGTCCAAAATTTATATATATATGTTTGTCCAAAATTTATATATCTATAGAAAGTTAAAGGATACATATATTTATATATAAAAGAAAATACTAACAAAATAATTTGTTGTGACATTAATAAATTCAAAAAGGCTTGTGAGAAAAACTGTATTACCAAAGATAAAAAGGGTCACAGAATAATTATACAAAGAAATAGAGATATCTCTACAATCACGCATTCATTTACCCATTCATTTATTTCTTAATCCATTCACACAAAAGCTATTATTAATGTTTACTAGGAGCCATGTGTAGTTCTAGACACTGATAATATAGCAAGAAACAAAATTAAAAAATACCCTCTGTCTTTTTGGTGTGGGTATGTGTGTGTGTGTACATTTGTACAAATGTACATATATATACTTACACATATATAATTTTTTAGAAAAAGGAGACAACAAATTAGATACATTAAATAATGTCTGGGAAAGATTTATTAAATGTGGGTTAGGCTTACAATTTTAGATAGGATGGTAGAGTGAGCAAGGTAAGTCTTACTGAGTGAGAAGATGATATTTAAATAAAGATCCGAAGAAAGTTAGAGTAAGCCAAGCAAATATCTGATAAAAATATGTTCTTGGAAGAGTAAATAGCAAAAAGCACAAAAGCCCTGAATTGGGATTTTGTCTGGTTTGATTAAGAAACAGCAAAGGCTGCTTGGCCAAATGTGAGTGAGTAAGTAAAAACATGGATCAATGACTAAGGGGAAGATTAGTAGGGAACTAGGGCAGAGAAAAAAGTCAGGCAAGGGTAGATCATGTGGAGTGTTCTAAAACATTGTAAGTCCTCTGTACACAATTGGCTTGTACTCAGAATGCAATGTGAAGCCACTGGAGAGTTTTCAGCAGACTTGTGTAGTGATATGACCCAACTCTCCTATTGGGAAGATCAAACTAGGAGTTGTGTTAAAGACCAAATACTGGTGGCAAAGGGCAGAAGGGAGAAATTTGCAAATACCTAGAAATAGAATGGTGGTAACTTGAGTCAGTGTAGATGCTGATAATTAGTCAGTCTGCATATATATTTTAGGACACATGTCATTCACTAATTGATGAATTAGTGGAATAACCAGTAAGCATATAAGTTCTAGCAAGAGTCAAAGTAATCTCATTTCCATTGGCCAGTGTACTAGAGGACATAGTCAACTCAGGAAGTGATATGGTTTGGCTCTCTGAGTCCCCACCCAAATCTTATCTTGTAGCTGCCATAATTCTCATGTATTGTGGGACAGACATGGTGGAAGATGATTGAATTATGGGGCTGGGTCTTTCTTGTGCTGTTTTTATGATAGTGAATGGACCTCATGAGATCTGATGGTTTTAAAAATGGGAGTTGCCCTGCACAAGCTCGTTCTTTGCCTGCTGCCATTCATGTAAGATGTGACTTGCTCCTCCTTGCCTTCCACCATGATTTTGAGCCACGTGGAAATGTGACTTCTCCATTAAAGCTCTTTCCTTTGTAAATGGCCCAGTTTCTGGCATGTCTTTATCAGCAGCATGAAAATAGATAAATACAGTAAATTGGTACCAGTAGAGTAGGGCACTGCTGAAAAGGTACACAAAAATGTGGAAGCGACTTTGGAACTGGGTAACAGACAGAGATTGGAACAATTTGGAGGGCTCAGAAGAAGACAGGAAAATGTGGGAGAGTTTGGAACTTCCTAGAGACTTGTTGAAAGGCTTTGACACAAATGCTGATAGTGATGTGAATAATAAGGTCCAGGCTAAGGTGGTCTCAGATGGAGATGAAGAACTTGTTGGGAACTGGAGCAAAGGTAACTTTTACTATGTTTTAACAAAGAGACTGGTGGCATTTTGCCCCTGCCCATAGATTTGTTGAAATCTGAGATTGAGAAAGATGATTTAGGGTATCTGGAGGGAGAAATTTCTAAGCAGCAAAGCATTCAAGAGGTGATTTGGGAGCTGTTAAAGGCATTCTGTTTTATAAGGAAAGCAGAGCATAAAAGTTTGGAAAACTTGCAGTCTGACAATGCAATAGTAAAGAAAATCCCATTTTCTGAGGAGAAATTCAAGCTGGATGCAGAAATTTGCATAAGTAACGAGGAGCAGAATGTCAATTCCCAAGACAATGGGGAAAATATCTCCAGAACATGTAAGAGACCTTTGCAGCAGCCCCTCCCGTTACAGGCCCACAGGTTTAAGAAAAAAAGTGGTTTCCTGGGCTGGGCCCAGAGTCTCCCTGTGTGTGCAGCCTAGGGACTTGGTGCTCTGAGTCCCAGCCCCTCCAGCCATGGCTGAAATGGGCCAATGTAGAGCTCGGGCTGTGGCTCCTGAGGGTGCAAGCCTTAAGCCATGGCGTCTTCCATGTGGTGTTGAGCCTGCGAGTACACAGAATTCAAGACTTGAGGTCTCCGCCTAGATTTCAGATGTGTGAAAATGTCAGGATGCCCAGGCATAATAGTACACCTGGCATTAATCTTTGTTGTAAATCCAAATAACTTAAAACTGAAATAATATATTGGTTAAGGTAATAGACATTTTTAAGACTATAAAGAAACATTTATAAGACTGTAAAGAGGTCCTCATGGAGAACCTCTGCTAGGGCAGTGAAGAAGGGAAACGGGGGTGGGAGCCCCCACAAAGACTCCCTACTGGGGCACCACATTGAAGCACAAAACAAGTTATATAATTTGCTGATAGATACAGGAGCCAGGAGTCAAACCTAGGTAGTCTGCCCACTGAGGCCAGGCTCTTCATGTTGACAACATCTTGCCTTTCTTAACTGTACGTGTGCATCTCAGAATAGTATACATGGCATTAATCATTGATGTAAATCCAAAGAACTTAAAACTGAAATAGTATATTGGTTAAGGTAATAGACATTTTTTAAGACTGTAAAGAAGTAAGAGAATGATAACCTCAAAGTTCACAATATTAACTGCCTTTAAAGCAGGAATGAAGGGATGGAAACTGCAATGAGTGCTCAGGGTACTTCAAAATTAATAATACTAATTTTATTCTGTTCTTCTTTGAGTTCTTATTCATTGGGCTTAGCATATTGTTAACAAGCACTCATTTTTGTCTACTAAATACTTAATAAAAATTATTTAAAAAGTAAAATAATATGGGCATTTGTTCTAAAGTTCCTCATTTATAGAACTGAGAAAGTCCTATAATCTGGAGAAGACTACCGCATTTGGATTATACGGTTTCATTGTGGGATCCAGAGGCAGAAATAACTTGTAGCATATGAAAAGGGCAAATAATCTGATTAGAAAATACATAACAATTACATGGCAGCAGGTGGAAATAAGTGCAAACCCTTACCCTAAATGGATCAAAAGGTTTATGGTTCAGTGAATCTGAGAAGAAAGAATTGTCTATAAATAATATCATTATAGGTTATAGGTTATATATCAGCAAAAAAATGGAAAGATATTGGGGAAATATATTTTTAATTAGGTAATTGTAGACTGAACAAATGGTCTTATCAAAATGATGCTGGTTTTGGATAAAAAAATTTGATAGGCATTACTTTAAAAATGTCACTGGGATCTGCCATTGACCATATTCTATTTAAATGCTAATCTACATATCCAAGTTAAAGGTTATATACATACTTCTGGTTGACACGAAGTAGGAAGGGATAGTTAACAACCTGAAATAAATTGAAAAGCAGATCTCAGTGACTGAATCCAATAACAGCGTGTGGTGGAAAAGACCTAAGAATAAAGTCCGCTGAAGGAATAAATATTTATAGTGATCATTAAACTAATGTGACCCAAGAGAAAGTTGTTTGGATTATAATATCTTGCATGGATGGATATCATGATTCTCATTGTATTCTGTGCGTGCTAGAAAATCAATGGCTTCTCCAAGTACACAGAAATACAGGTAATTTTAGGCAGAGCAATATGACAGGAATGATGTACATGAAGACTTGTTCGAAGCATTGATTAAGATGTCAGGGATGGTGAACATGATAGTTGTATGTTTATATATATATTTTCATTCATATCTCCATTCACTTAACAGGTATTTTATTGATTACTCACATATGCTAATGGAAAAGTTATTATTTTCTATATTTTCCTGGGCTCAAATAAAGAATAGCAAAAAAAGTTAGACAAAGATAATTTTCAATTTTTCTGAAGGTCAAAGTGGCAGCCTCAAAAGGAGTTTGATTCTCATTATTGAATAAACTGAAGGAAGTTTGGTCAATTTCATAATTCATTTTCCATAGAATAACTTCTAATAATAGATGAGTTATTGGGGAAAAATGGAGGCATACTATAGTGAGGAAAATGACAAATTTTTAATTCAGACATGAGTAGATTTAAATTATGTTTCTGTCTTATACTAACTGGAGGACTTGGGACAACTTAGTTAACTATCTGCAGTTTAATATTTTTTAGAGTCATGCAACCTCAAAACTTTTTGACACTCTATAAATGCTATCTCATATACTTTACAATATCTTGCAAATATTTCTATCACCCTCAAGATACACGATATTTTATAGATAAGAAATCTGAGGTGGCTGTTATTTTACATTACCTACACAAGATACTGAAAGGATTTGATGGATTGAATTAGTGGTCCCAGTTATTTCATCCATTGTGTGAAAATTACACAATCGCAGTCTTGTCTTGGTCTACTGATAGGAGGAGTGCCACAGTTTAACTGAGGCTTGGCTTTAACTGAGGCTTGGCTATGTGTCTTGTTTGCCTAATGTGATATTGGCAACCTTGAAGAGAACAGACATGTGAAATGCTCATATTCACTTTGGCGTGGACCTTTTCTATTTCTGTTCTCACAATGAGATACTTCTACCCCAAGTAGTCATTGCCACTTATGCATCCCCAGAATAAATACATTGACAATGACCTTACTCTTGCTGACCAGAGCCTGAGACAAAGTTGTCCAGCAAAGGCTACTCTTCATCAGTGGAACCACAGTTAACTGGTAGACACACCTGAGCATGAGAATAAAAGTTGGTTGTGGATGGTCTATGATACAGCAATATTATGACAGTAGGTGACTTACAGATGAACCTGAAAAACCACAGCTTTTTAACGTTAGTGGTTTTCCTTTTGTATTTATGTCAGCATAAAACATATGTACCAGATATTAGGTTATATAATATTTTCATTATATCACACATCACTACTAAAGGCTAAATGATTTTTTAAAAGGCTAAATCAAAGCCTACTTTTGCTATAAAATGAATGTCTTCCTCAGGCGATATCATCAAAAGGATGAATAAACCTGGCTAATTAATCTATTTCATGGTAAGAAAGGTGAAACATGAATTTCCGTCATGTGAATCACAAGACAAAATTTTCATCTATTCTAAAGATGGGATTAGACAATTAAATTGTTTAAGAAAAGTTTTGTTTAATGTATTTCTAATAGGTATATGAAAATAACATGGTTAATATTTACATATTTATAAAAACCCTAAAATTAGCAATTTATGTATGTATACATGTATATATATGCCAATAATAATTTCATTACAGCATAGTTCATGAATATTATCCTGTACTGTGAATGAACCCTAATCAGAGTATTGACTTGAGTTATCTGGATATTTTTTAAATGATGATATTCCCCCTAATGATCTGTTATAATTAATATATATAATTAGAAAAAGGAGGCACTTTCTGCTTTTGAAGTTCTCCCTTATTTTCAAATCAAATAGTTACGTGCTCTCCTTTTTATATAGTTTTCTTCTGTGTGTGTACATATATATACATCTTTCTATATTTTCTGTTTCTAATTATTTTCTGATTCCTAGAAAGAGATAATGTATCATTTTTCAAATTGCCTTTAGAATTGAATTTCATGTAAAACATCATCAAATTTGATTTTAAAATCTAAGTCCAATTATTTTATTATATTAACTTAATTTTAATATATTCCATTAGAGAGAAAGAAAATTATTCACTTCTCTATTAAATGTATGTGCACTATAATTTTCTGAATCATTATTACATAATATATATGATTAATATTAAACACTGATAACAAACTTAAATATGCTAAAAAATGAAACAACATAAACTCCTCATTAACCATATCAACATAACTTTTCTTAAATCAGCTATTTTATATAATTTATGAAGCCTATCTTAGATCAGTTTAGGCATAATTTAGTGCCTATTGTATCCTATATTCTGAGATTCAAATATTAAAAGATGAGAGATTCAAGAATAAATCAGTTCCTACTGATTTTCTCAAATGTTCATAGTTTAAGTTGAGAGACAAATCAATAAAATGAATAATATGAAATAAGGGGAAGCAGAGAAATATATATTTCTATAAAGAAAAAACTTTTTTGGAGGATGAGGAGAACTCAAGAAAAGTTTTCTAAGAAAACGATTGAGTAGAATATTCAAATATAAATGTGAATTAGTGAAAGAGAATTGAGATGATTCTGAGAAATGAAATAGGAGAGACAAAGGAAGGTAGGGGTTTTGGAGTTTGTGTGTGTGTGTGTGTGTCTGTGTGTGTGTGTGTGTGTGTGTGTATTTCAAATGAGCCTGGAAAAGTACAAGACAGAGCATGGTGAGTGTTATGTCTAGGTCTTTAAACTTTATAGGAAGTAAATGGAGGATGTCAAGTGAAGGGATATGGCCAGTTCCTCCTGGATAGATTACATTAGCTATATTCCAAAATATAAATTATAAAAACAAAAACCAGGAAGACTAGGCTGTCACTAATTTTGCAGTAAAAATTATTAAATCCAGCCGGGTACGGTGGGTCACACCTGTAATCCCAGCACATTGGGAGCCCGAGGCGGGTGGATCACGAGGTCAGGAGTTCAAGACCAACCTGGCCGAGATGGTGAAACCCCGTCTCGACTAAAAATACAAAAAAAATTAGCTGGGCGCGGTGGCGAGCGCCTGTAATCCAAGCTACTCAGGAGGCTGAGGCAGAGAATTGCTTGAAGCTGGGAGGTGGAGGTTACAGTATGCCGAGATTGCACCACCGCACTCCAGCCTGGGTGACAAAGCAAGACTCTGTCCCCCCCAAAAAAAAAATTAAATCCACATAAAATAATAGTAAATAGAAATATTTTTGAAAGGTACTTAGAATTCAACTTATCTAATCTTGATTCGGCAGGTACTGGTGAAGAAGAAAAGGTCAAAGCCACTTCCAAGTCACAGATTTTCATGACTGAATGGGAGATGTTATTACTGACTAGAATAAAAATAAAAAAAGTTATAAATCATATCTAAAAGGATGGGCTTTGGCATCAGAAACAACTGGCTTCTAACTCAGCTATTCCACTTAATTAGTTTTGTGACCTTGACATCAAACTTTTTTGAGACTTGGCACCTTCATATACAGAATGGAAAATGTAGTTGCTTGGAAGATTATTGGAGCATTAACTGTGATAATGTATGTTAAAGTACTTAGTATAGTACCTTACATAAAGTAAACATATTAAAACGTTAGCCAATATATCTGTAAATATTGGGAGGATGGGAGTAACGGTGTCACAAGTTTGTTCTGTCTCAGCAAAGTCTGAAGTTTAAGAAATTGGCCACGGCTTTAGGTGCCCATTCAGGAATACTTTGAATATAAGCGCTTGTTAAAATTATTAGAGTGTTGATTTTGCTCAGAGAAAATGTATGGGGTGAGATACGCAGAGAGGTCTGGGAATTAGGTTTATTATCAACGTGTCAATGAGAGACACCCCTGAAGTAAGCCAGAAAGAAATAGATATATAAGGATAAAGAAGTATTTTAAAAGTTTAAATCTAATTATAACACAGATATTCTAAATATATTTTTCATATGGGAAGATTTTTTAAAAAATATTACTGTTTCTTTCCTTCACTCTGTAATTTATTTCAGTCTTTGACAAGTAGGTGGTTTTGTGGGAGACTAGGAACAACTGTGAGAAGGAGCAAACATTTCAATCACCAACAAATATCTTTGATACAAATATTATTTTTGCTCTTGCACTTCAGAGGCCCAATAATGTCCTTACTAAATCAATGATAATTATCCTTTCACACCTGATATGCATCTTCAGCGCCATTCAGGTGTTTTTATTTAAATTTTTAAAATGAGCATCTTTTTAATCAGCAAAAATTTCATTTTCAAAATTCAAAATTTTCTCTTAAAATATATATTCCCCAGCCAAGTGCTCTACAGCCAGTGATGAATTTAAGTTTTGCATGCCTAACTTTTTTCCTTAGTTTAGATAACTGCTTTTCAAGGTTTCCCCAGGTAGATATCTAGTGGTTTGAAATGCATTTTAACTTTTGATAGAATCTGGACTTAATGCCACAGTAAACGGAATGTAACCAATAGAATCAATACAAAAAGATCTGGAATCTTTTCTATGTTCTGACAATATCCCAATGTGCTGTGCTGCTAGCTCACTGGCTGGAGAAGAGTACAAAGAAAGTAAGGAGAAAACTGTATTGATCATATTCTCTACAGGCCAGAACACAGTGCTGGCCACATAGTTGAGATTCAGTGAAGATGCCTTACAGCCACCTGTTTTGTGAAATCACCAAGAAGGTTTAAAATGCAAACTATGCAGAATGTTGATGTGAAAGTCATATTACAATTAAAAAAGACACACCTTTTCATTGCTAAATAATTGATACAAACATTGAGTACCTTACTGCTAATTGCATAGCAAAATATTTTCACTTAACTATCAAGAACTTGCAAAATAAGAGTTTGTACATATTTGGAATATAGAGTTATTTTAGAAAACACAGGAAAACTAGGTCATGGTTTCTTTTCTTTGTTTATTCAGTGTTTTTAATTATTTGAAAAGCTCTCTGTCGGAATATATTCTTTTCTTTTAGGAGCACATAATTGGCAAGTTTTTTAAAATAATAATCATAATGTATAATATTGTAACAGTCATTTGATTAAATCAAGATGTATTACATTATACCAGAATTTCATCATCTGTCTTGGAAAATCTTTTTAATTGACCAAATAGCCAACATTATAGCACATGGTTATTTTCTAAATCAAACAAAGCCACCGGGAGGAAATAAACTTCCCTTAGAAATAACCACTCTATATAAGACATGCAACAGTCCTCTTTAGCTTTGTTTTGAACCAAAGGACATGACCCTCCATTAACTCTGCCCTCACCATTTCCCCATGAGATAGACTAGACAGCATGACTATCAGATGTTTTAGTGAATAATCCTTGACCTTCAACAACTGAACACAAAGTGTTTTTGTTGTGTCTATTGCACTTTATAATTGCAAAATTCTTCATTCATTAGCTAAACCTCTTTTCCTCTGGAATAGGTGAGTGTTCAGCATCAGTACCACTTCTGCTGTGCCAGTTAGGAAAGTGAGAAACAGGGTCAAATGGCCTTTTTTCATGTCTTATATTTGACAGCCAGGATGCTGATTTTCAAAGAGCACAGTGGGAAAATAAAATAACTGACTAATTTATAATAATTATAGAGGAGACTGGAAAGAATGACAGGATATTTGCAGAGAGATTTAATGTACTTAATTAATTTGACCTCAACACCAACAGAAAGGTTTGCAAGTAGAGTTCTCCTAGGTGTGTAGTATTTAAGGATGTTAATTTTAATGAGCACATTTATTATAAAACGATGTTTTCTTTCACTGTGATTTTAAAACAGGTGTAGTTTAAAAGCTCTCTTTTTCAAACTTATTCCCTTTCAACACAAAGCAAAGAAAAAGTTATGGCTCTGAATAAATGAGGTTACACTTATTTTATGGAAATCACACACTCAGGAGATCAAGTGTCTTGGAAGCCAATTAATTTATTACTAATATTAAGGGGCATGTACTTAGAAATGTACTTACAACATCAATTATGTTCAACTATCTATCATAACAAATTTTACTGGCAAATGTATGGTATTCCAATGGATCATATTTTATACGCTATTTTTACCAAGAATAAGCCATTTGACATACACTTCTGAAAAAGGAAAGAAAAGCAAAGGAAAGGAAATAAGGAAGAAAACAAGAGGGGATAAAAAGGAAAGAAGAGAAGGAGAGGTAGAAAAAAGAGTGAGGAAGGAGAGTAGAGAGGGAGATCAAAAGAGGGGGAGATAAATAAAAGTAAGCCACTATGGAATATAAGCTTAGCATTTTAGCAAATAAAAACGCATGAAATGTGCTCATAAAATAAAAAGCTGTCTAATCTTGTAATAAATTTGCATTTCTATTTAGCAAAATACTGCAATGAGAAGGATTTCGAAGATGTCTCCTGCAAGAATTTGTCAGCCTTTTGTTAAAACATACACCTCTTTTGGAATACTAGATATGAACCTATTTGTCATATCATGATTATTTTTATATTAATGTCTACACTCTGTTCACATATAACATTTCTGCTTTTTTACAATCTGCTTTGGCCTATTCTATCTTCTTGTTCTCGATTTGCAAAAATATTCTGGAAATGAAAAACAGTCACATTATTGAAAGATTTGTAAAATATGGAAAACTAGGATATCCTAAAGGAAATATTGCAGATGGGAAGCAGCATTGTTATATTGCTATTTCAAATGTGTCCTCCATTACCATTTTCTTGGGCAGTTAATTATTTTTTGAACAGTCTTCCACTTTTAGGAGTAAAAAATAGAAGTAAATATTCATTTTTATTCTTTGAATGGGGGCTAGATCAAGGAGAATAATCTTACTAATAAGAAGATGGGTTTATTTAGTGATTATTCATTAGTCATGATTATCTCTCCGTGAATCTTAGAATTTTTCTATGGTATTATTTTACCAGTAAGCTATTTCTGACAAGGGAATTGTATTTTCACTCAGCATTAGAATCCTCCACTAACAAACGATTAATCTCACCTTCTTGTATTCTATATTTATTTATTTCTCACTCATCCAAAGTCAACTGTGAATCTGGGCAAATCTCCAGAAAGCTGTCCTCAATGTGATGGCTCATCAGTTCCAAAATCATCTCCTGTTTCCATACTTGGCATGGCCCTGGGAGGAGGACTGGACAATAAAGAGCCAGCAATTAACTTCTCCTTCAGGGAAGTGATTGTCCTACTGTGTCATTTTCACTTAGTAAACTAAGTTAGAGGCCAGCTAATTTCAATGATGTTGGAAACTGCAATCTTCCTTTGTTCCCAGAGAGAGAGCAGCTGAGCTATTGTTCAACTGTAGCAATGTCTGCATAGGAAGAGTATGGTATGAATTCTTTCCTTCACAACCAGTTACATGAAGGGTGATCTGTGGAATACAAAATTTCAAATAGTGCAAGAGGATTTGGACAAGGAATCAATGCCTACTCTAAAAAGAAATAATTATGTGACACTAGGCACAGAAAATCCTGGTGCTTTTTTTTCTTTTTTTCTTTCTTTCTCTTTTTTTTTTTTTTTTTTGAGACAGAGTCTCGCTCTGTTGTCCAGGCTGAAGTGCAGTGATGCGATCTCAGCTCACCACAACCTCTTCCTCCTGGGTTCAAGTGATACTCCTGCCTCAGCCTCCTGAGTAGCTGGGACTACAGTCATGCACCACCATTCTCGGCTAATTTTTTTTTCTTGTATTTTTTGTAGAGACAGGGTTTCACTATGTTAGCCAGGCTGGTCTCAAACTCCTGACCTCCTGATCCACCTACCTCGGCCTTCCAAAGTGCTGGGATTACAGGCATGAGCCACTGCGCCCAGCCAGTCCTGATGCTTTTTAAGGGGCTTTTTATGTTTTAACCTCCAATCTTTCTACATAACATGGACAAAATTTTATTGAAATGCCTCTTTTCCACTGAGTGCAAGAAAGCCGTGTAAACTAACAATTGTGATGGGCTGTTTTGAATTCAGGTGTTTATTCAAAAAAAAATTAAACAAAGTTGTAAGTTTCCTGTTATAAAATTGCCGCAATTCCATTACAGCGAATTCTGAAAACTAAGGGTAACCATGTAAATAAAGTGATCCCTACAATGAATACTGTAACTATTTCCACCATGTCTTTGGGAAATTCAAGGCTGTGACCAATCCAGAACTCCTGCTTTCATTCATTTTCTGAAATTTCTTATCTGAACTTCTTCATGCCAATGGAACTATCATTTAATGAGAGATATAAATTGAAGCTAAAGAAGAATATCATATAAAGTCTTATGTAGACATGAACTTTGTTCTTTTCAATACTATACACATAATGCTTAGAGCAACAGAGTGTGACAGTAAATATTGATTTAGTGACCTAATATATAAATGAAAGAAAGACACAAAAAATAATATAATCTTGGGACATCAAATTCACTATAAAATAATCCCAAATAGGCAGGTATGGTGGCTTATGCCTGTAATCCCAGCACTTTGGGAGGCTGAGGGAGGAGGATCGCTTGAGCTCAGGAGTTCGAGACCAGACTGGGCAACACAGTAGACCCTGTTTCTACGAACAAAAATTTTAAAAAAATTAGCTGGGTGTGGTCCTAGCTCCTCTGAAGGCTGAGGCAGGAGGATTGCTTGAGCCCAGCACGTTGAGGCTACAGTGAGCCATGATCTTGTCAGTACACTTCAGCCTGGGCAACAGGGCAAGATGCTGTCTCAAAAATAAAAATTAAAATAAAATAAAATAATCCTAAATACATAAAGAAAAAATCGTATAATTAAAAAAATGTTATTAGGTCCTTCAGACTATTGCCATATGTCAGATAAACAATTTGTATTACACAGAAACATATGTCAAAACACCAATAGGTTGTTGACATTTTAGTCATGTAAAAATATGTTATTATGAAGAGAGTAAAGGATCACATCATACTTTTCAATGTACATTCTGGATGAATTGAAGTGTTGAACATTTTATGACATGTTGCTTTATATTATGGCTTGAGTTATACTAGACCATGAAATTAAAACAGGCTGATTAAATATAATTAGATAATAAACATTAAATAGAATTTACATGGAAACTATACTTAGCTGTTGAGTCATAATATGATCATGGTAGATAGAAGCCTAATTTTGCTATTTCTTTGACGTGGAAGTTAAACAGTTGAAAGAAGTGTGCTTGGAAGCCAGTGTGTAAAGGAATAGACCTACTGCTCTGTCCTATATATCAATTTGGTGAAACGGGTAGCATACTTCACAGATTCCTCTACCCGATGGTTGCTGATTGAGAATTGACCAGAAATGCAATTTCAGCACAATTTGAAGGCAGAAGTGAAAAAATAACCATTATTCTCCAAGGTCATTGTAGGGAGATATTTGATGGAAAGATCCAGAGGGGGCAAGTGGGCCCAGCTTGTCCTTGCTTTGCCATTTTCTTCATTCAGCTCTTAACCCTGATGACGGTCATGCTGAAAAACAGCAGCCTTAAGCACTCATCTCTATTTCCTTGGCTGTAGACCCGTAGAAGTAGTTGTTCAAAGGGGGCAACAGCTTCTTGTAGACCTCTTATGAGCACCCTATCATGGTCCCACCATCCTAGTGGCTGAATGTGCTTGGATTCCCAGATTTTCTTGCCAACTTTGACTGGTTCACCTGCACCCGTGCTTCAGGCAGCAAAGAGAGTGGCTTATTCTCTCTGATCCTCAGCCTCCACCTTCCAGACTCTCACTTCCTCAGCTTACAACTCATTTGTGTAAGTCATTCTAAAATTGAATCTCTTGTTCTCATAAAATTTAGAATGGGCTCTATTTCCATGACTGTAGCATAACTAATAAAACTGATTCACTGGTTAATTTTATTAATATTGAAAGAACAATAGCAACACCTCCATTAAAGGCAGGCAAAGGGGGATTTACCTAAAGGTAATATTCATTTCTTAAAATGGGTGTGTGAGAGTGTCTGTGTGTGTGTGTGTGTGTGTGTGTGTGTGTGTGTGTATTTTGAGATGAGGTCTCACTCTGTTGTCAGGTTGGAGTGCAGTGGCATGATCTTGGCTCACTACAACCTCTGCCTCCTGGGCTCAAGGGATCCTCTCTCCCACCTCAGCCTCCTGAGTAGCTAGGACTACAGGCACACGCCACAATGCCAGGCTAATTTTTGTATTTTAATAGAGATGGGATTTCATCATGTTACCCAGGCTGGTCTTGAACTCTTGGCTCATGCAATCCACCCACCTCAGCCTCCCAAAGTGCTGGTATGATAGGCATGAGCCACTGTGCCCAGCCTTAAAATGTATAGATTAGCCTTTTAGGCAAATTTGTCACTTAAGATAAAAGTTTTTGTTGTTGGTAGTGTCGGTGTTTTTGTTAACACGATTATGTCTACTCAATATATTTGAAAGTTTCTTATTCTTTCTATTGCTTTCTTGATGTAGCATAGATTTTTTTGTAGGACAAGAGTTAGAAAAATTAAGGGGTTAAATATCATGCTACAACAAAAGGGGTTAAATATCATACAACAACAAAATAGATGAAAATATTTACAATTTATTTAAATGGATACAATTCTTATACTTCATAAACATCATTTACATGTTTCTTATCTCTGTGCATGTGTATGCATGTGTGTCCCTATGCTAGTTTACAATCAAAATTACTTGTCTTTTTTTTTTTTTTTTTTTGAGATGAAGTTTCGCTCTTGTTGCCCAGGCTGGCTGGAGTGCAATGGTGCTATCTCGGCTCACTGCAACCTCTGCCTCCTGGGTTCAAGCAATTCTGCCACAGCCTCCCGAGTAGCTGGGAATACAGGCACCCACCATCACGTCTGGCTAATTTTTTACATTTTTAGTAGAGACAGGGTTTCACCATGTTGGCCAGGCTGGTCTTGAACGCCTGACACATGTGTTCCTCCTGCCTCGGCCTCCCAAAGTGCTGGGATTACAGGTGTCAGCCACCATGCCCAGCCAACACTTGAAATTACTTATACCCTTCACGGTTTATAAACTCTAATTTGCTTTAAGTCAACTTAACTACAAACCCAGAAACACATAAGTAGACACATGTTTGTACACGTGCTTGTATAAATGCACAACCACAATTTCATTGTAGTTTGTAAATGGCTGAACATTTAAAAGCATAAAGGGTAAAGTAGCTAAATATTCGATGCAAAAAGAATGGCAGGCAGAGGTAATTTTACCTCTAATTTATCCTCTACCACCATTGAGGAGTCTTTATAAACAATAAGTTAAAACTCTGATTTTAATTTGTCAAGTGCGATTGAAACCACAAAATTAGTCACACACAAACCAGAACAAACTAAGTACTGCAGATGCTGCAGATGTTTCATTTTTCAGTTTTAAAATTCAACCATATTTTTCTTATTATAAGCAAATATATAAGATGACTTTTTAAAATCTTTTTCTTTTTTGTTTTTGTTTGTTGTTTGTTTGAGAGACAGTCTCGCTTTATCACCCAGGCTGGAGTGCGGTTGCACGATCTTGGCGCGCTGCAACCTCTGCCTCCTGGGTTCAAGTGATTCTCCTGCCTCAGTCTCTGGAATAGCTGGGACTACAGGTGCGAGCCACCATACCCGGCTAATTTTTAAAATATTTTTAGTAGAGACGGGGTTTCACTGTGTTGGCCAGGATGGTCTCGATCTCCTGACCTTGTAATCCAGCTGCCTTGGACTCCCAAAGTGCTGGGATTACAGGCATGAAACGAATGCATGCATACTCATGCTAATAAATGCTTGGGTATGCTTATACCACACTAAAATCACATAAATAACTCTGGCATAATACAGTGATTTATATATATTATATATTTATATAAAAGCTATATATAATATGCTATGTTATTATATATTATACATATAATCTGTTTACAGATATATAGCAAACACTTACTATATGTTAGTCTGTTAGACACTGTTCTCATCTCTTGAAATATATGAGCACACAAGACAAAGATCTCTGTTCTCCAAGTGTTTACATTCCAGAAAGGAGAGGTGGAAGTAAATAATAAATGTAATATAAGAAAATAAAAACGTAGACCAGGATAAGGAAATTGTATTATACAGTTTTATACAATTTGCATATTAAATAGAGAGGATAGCCTTCATAGAGAAGGGGGATTCAAACAGAGGCTTGAAGGTAACTAGCCAAGTAGGTGGCTGGTAATCAGTATCCCAGTCAGAGGGAACAGCTAGCAAAGGTGGGAGTAAACCTCCTAAGTTCCAGGAAAAGCAAGAAGAGTTGGACAGAGCTGCAGAAGAACAAGGGGAAGGATGCAGGGAAAACGGATCAGAAATAAAATGAGGCGGCACAGACTACACAGACACTTGGTACTTCCTCTAAGGTAAGTTGGGAACTACCAGTTGATTTTTACCAGACAGGTGACATGATCTGCCATATTCTAAAAGAATAGCATTTTCTCTTGAGGCTAATCTTTGGAGAACTAGAAGCAGTAATTTGGATAAGCAATTACTACTACGGGAGTCATGGTGACAAGAGAGCAACAGATGAAAATTGGTAGGATCCTACACATACTGTGGATGTAGAGACAACAGGATCTGCTGGCAAATTAGATATGCAATGTGAGTGAAATAGAGGACATAAAAGGGCTTGATTGAGAGACTTCACCTTGAGTAATTGGAAGGATGGAGTTGATGTTGACCGACATCGTGAAATCTGAGCATAGAATATGTTTGTGAGTGAAGACCTATAATTCATTTTGGACGTGTGAATTTGGAATGTCTATTAGATATCCAAGTAGATATGCCAAAAAAAAGTTGAGTATAGGAGATTAGATTTTGGGAGAGCTGAGCTGGGAAATATATATTTGGGAGTTTTCAGCATATGGTGTTTAAAACTATGAAGTTGGATGAGATCTCTAAGGGCGTGGGTGTAGATAGACAGGAGAAAACTAATGCTGCTCCAACACTGAGGGGAGAACAGAAGAAACTAGCAACTGGAACTGAGAAGGAATAGCTAGTGAGGCAAAAGGTAAAACCAGTCATGTGGGCATCTGAAAATCCAACTTTAAGAACTGTGTTGAGGAGGAGGGAAGAATTAACTGAGTCAAATAAACATTATGTAAATTGTATACAAAGAGTAGTCTACACTTATGCATTTTTGAGTTGGCAGGAAATTTTTGGAAGAATACTTAGGAAGCTGCTGGTTTGAGCAACTGTCTCTTGGAAGTGAGATGGCAGGTGAAAAGAAAGGGAGATGAAGTGTTCAACACATTCAGCTATAACCACATGGTTCCGCATGCATCCCATGCATAATAAAATATGAAAATATACTTAAAATAACAATAATCATGTAGGTGGCAAAAAATACTTGAGATGACAACAGAACAGGTGAAAAACCTCAAACAGGTTATATTTGAAAACTTTTTTAAAATGAAAACCAATCCTCATAATAGCATCCATGGAACTAGTACTGCCACGGAACCCCAAATCAAATTCTGTTAGTCATGACTGGGACTAAACTTTACTTCTACATGACTTCTTTTAAAATGCAAACACGTTACCTGAAATGTATAATGTTAAATATGCAATCTAAAAAGTATTTTAAATGGAAGATGGCTAAAATTATATATGCATAGACAGCTAAAAAAAAACTGTATGCAACATAAGGAAAAAATCAAAGTTTTTAGACCCTGTAAACATGAATGACAGTAGGTTGTAGTGTCTGAGAGGAGGGATTTACGATCCAATACATGGCTGCCCATGAAAGACATGGCCCATTAGAGTGTATGCAAGAGAGTTTTTTGCAAGAGAGTTACAGAGACAAAAAAATAGTCAAGGACCAGAGCTTAATAGAGTAAATAATGTGGAATGGGGTAATAACCAAAGATTTATTGGTGTTGTAGGCCAAGAGTACATGGTTAGTCAGGATAAAGACAAGGTATCATTAATGTGGCAAGTTACAAGTTATGTGTTCACTCTAGAACGAAAGATGAAATCCCATAGTAAAATTTAAAATGTTAAACTACTTGGATTTTTCAATATGAGATCAGTTAATAATGAAAGTATTTCCAGAAACAAAGAAAGGTTGGGAAATACAGACTATGAGAGGTTTTAATATTTTTGCGATTAGTCATCAAAAAACAATCAAACTTAATTCTATCATGGTAATACTCCCTAATGCAGTTTTCTAAATCTATTTTAAACAACAAGCAATAAGCCAAAGGAAAAGTGAGATAATGCCTTTATACATATTGTAACTGTGTTTACTTTTCTCAGTTTCTACCAGAGAAAAGGCAGGTGCATTTTTTTGGTATGTTTGTGTAAAGTGAATTTGGCTTTACTTTTTCAAATTGAAATTATCTTATTTTCATAGAGTTTGAAACTTTTCTTGGCATTAAAGAATAGAAGAGTAAATGCATTTACAAAAATTTGTTAAATAACCATTAATGAATATATCTTGGTGCTGCGTTAAAGTTATTAATCATAGCTTTGTGACTGGGAAGGAAAATATAGTAATTTTTCAGGGTAGCTCTCTGTGAATCCACAATACTGGGGAAGTCTTCCCCAATTCTATCTGTGAAAACACTCATAACTTACCAGTTATCCATGGTGACATGAACTAATGGACCATCTTTAAATAAATTCACTAAGAGTTCCAGAATATGGCACAATGTTCTTTTTCTCTGTAGTACTGTGAAATTAGCATCAAACACAGAAGAATTCACTATTCTTTACCTCCCCCATGGTTGTCATCTCTACACTGTAAATCATAGAGCCAGAAAAAATGAAGTTGTTTTCCTCCTGTCATTCATATTTCATAGCTTCCTCTATTGTGTGAAAGTATTTCATTTTTAGGAAGGATCAATGCCAAAAGAGTTTATTACCTTCTATCAGAAGCATTTAGCTAGCTTTAGAGATCTCACTGAAGAAGTTGTTCTTAACATTTGTGGTGTGTGTGTGTGTGTGTGTGTGTGTGTGTGTGTATGCATACACATGGGTAATAAACATGAAATGTGAAGGCACTGCAAAAATGTTTTGAAAGATATTTAAAATATATTTCCAGTGCATTTTCTTTATTTTCTTGACTGCTTACCACAGACACATGCTTCTAGAGAGACTACAGAATTAAAAAGAAAACAGACATCTAAAGAAAGCAATTATCATGTTGGCACTGTAAAGCAGGATTTTGGCTGTTTGATAAGACATTTATAAGAAATATGACTTTTTAAAAAGTTAATGAGTACATTCAATGTCCACCAGCCTTGTCTCACTGTGTAGGGCTGTGTCTTTTTGCATGTTTTTGTATTAATGCATGAGGAAACAGGGGCAACTGAGAAATGGGAGTATAATTATAAGGATGCTTATTTGTATACAACCTGCCCATGGTTTTTCCATCCTTCATCAAGATAAAAAAGAGAAAATGCCTGTCATTCTGTTCCGGAAGACATCCAGATGAACTGTGAATAAGCAGCTGTTATTCTCACAAGAAAATTGACTGAAATTTCATACTCGGTAAAAAATAATTTATCTGCAGTCATCATACACAAAGCTTCATGGAGTTACACATTAAGGTTTCCTATAATAACTTGGAAATCTACAGGAACAAGGGCAGGGCTTTGACTCATTATTTGGATGTGAATACATGACCCACATTAATGTTAGAGATAATGGGCAACTTAGCACACTCCAAATCAAACAGCTTCATGATCCATCATTAACCTAAGTGAGCTTTCACTTTACTGAAGCAGCCCTCTAAATGAATAGGTCATTGCCTGCTTAAAAACTCAAAGATCTGTTAATATTCCAAGGACTTAGAGTCTATTAGATCAGACAATCTGAGCTTGTACAAAATTGTAGGCACACTGGATAGCTAACATCCTTTGGTGTATATATAAATATTTTAAAGAACATTCTTTGATACTTGATTTAAACAGGGAACACTGCATTTGTGACATTATTCTGCATAAATGTGCATATGTGTCAAGTTCAAAGAAAAAGAAAAGACTCTGTAGAGAGATACTCCACAAGAGGAAATAAGTTTCCACTCTAAGCTGACTTTCATAATGCAATTAAATCCATTAGAGAGAATGGAATTTCAAATACTGTTCAAATTAAGGCAGTGCAGTTAGAAGCAGCAGCAATTCAGGAAGAATTAGCAATGCCCTTCTGAAGAGAGCTACTGAATTAAATCTCGGAGGGCTTTAAGATTAAGTCATTTAATTGCTACTTTAGGAGCTCCAGACAGTGCATAGAGTTGAGTCCAGGTGTTAATACTGATTCTTCTCTGTTCTCTTCATATAACAAAACTGAATCTTAGAGCCAATTAAGGCAAACTTGAAAGGCCTTCTTCCCCCTTTTCAGTATGCTCCGGGTGTTTTATTTTAATTGTAGACAACACGGGAAATTGAGCACATTATACATAGTGAGATATTATTAAATCTTGAGTTGAAAAGATAACCAATATTCATCCATATTATTTTGCCTTAAGTTGCAAAAACTTGTTTTTTGTAGAAGGACACTCACATTGTGTTTATTTTATTCCCCTAATCATTTTAACAGGAGAACACAGTTTCTGTACCAAATCCTAACACTAATAACATCACCAGCTAATGATTAGTACATTTATAGGCCAAGGTAAATGCATGAATAAATTACAATAGAAAGTACTATAATTCACGAGTATGTCTCACACCCCTCCCTCAAGATATCCACTTTTAACATATTATGATGTAAATTGCTCAAACTCCTTTAATAGGCATACTTTTGGGTGAATTTATGCACTCTTATCCATTCCTTCATTTATTCGTTCACCAAACAAAATGGATTGAGGGCTGCTATGTGCCCTCTATGTGCGACTATTATAGGGCTTTCCTCATGGGGCTTGCATCATCATATGATATGAAGTAGGTCCTATTTTATAAAATGAAGTTGGATAAGGGTAGAGATGATTCTTCTGCAGAAGAAAGTGCTACTTTCAGACAATTGTTAGAGAACATCACTCTGATGTAATGACAATAAAACCAAGATTTACATGAAACAAAGGGGGATGCTGGGTGAGCGCCAAGGCCTTGTGGCAGTGTTGAACTTGACGTAATGAGAAAGGAAATGGAGGGGCTTGACAAGATATTGGTTTTAAGCCATGGGAAGTACTTTGATACTATATCGGAGAGTGTACATCTGCTACTGTGTAATGAGTTGGGGTCGGGGAGAAGGGAGAGTATAAAAGTAGAAACAGAAATATCTGTTTAGAGACTAGTGTACAGTCTAGATGTGAGACAATAGTGTCTGGAGCGAAGGTGACTGTGGTATAGGAAGTGAGGTTACTGGATTGAAGTTACTGGGTTTTTGAAGTTACTGGGTTGAAGACATATTTAGAGAAGGAAGTCAGGAAGCAGTAGAATTGATATTGTACCACATGTGGGTGGAATGGAGAGGAGCAAAGTCTCAGAAGTGACCCTTAGGTCTTAAGAAATTGGATGGATAATTATGTTATTTACTGAGATAAAGAAGATTAGGAAAATGGGTATATTTAGGGTGCGGTAAAGAGGGGCAGAAATGAAAAGTCTGGTTTTGAACAAGTTGGGTTTCAAGTGACTGTTAGATTCCTAGATAGAAATATTGAGCAGGCATTCTGAATTGAAGTCAGCAGAGGGATTAGAAGTAAAGGCATAGATTTGGAAAAAGCATCCAGATGGCATTTAAACCCATGCTACTGGATGCAATTACCCCTTCAGTGATTCTCTAGATAGAGAGATGAGTGGGCCTATGATGGTATCCTGGGATGCTCTGATAGATGTATTTACAGGTCAAAAGACACAGAGAACTCAGAAAAAGAGAATAAGAAGAAGCACTCAGTGATGAAAGAATAAAACCAGAAACTAATAAAGAAAAAGCAGATGAAAGATTTAATGTGAAAAAAATCATCTAAACATTAGAATTGCTGGATTTTGAATTTTGATGGATACTGTCAAATTTACTTCCCAAAGATTCCACATTTTACAATCCAGCCAAAACTCTATGAGACAGGTCTGTGCTTTTGTGATGTTTTGTGTGTTTTAAATAAGCATGACCTTCACTTTTGTTTTTAAAAAGTAACACCTGCTTGACAATATCCCTATCTGGAGGTGTGTGTAAACCTCTGGGCCAGGGCAGATCACATGCCATATATTTTCATTTATACCTCTTTCCCTCATCACTGGTGTTATATAATTGTGGCATATAAAAATTAATTGTCAGCAAAATGTAAAATGTTGAGATTTGAGTATATGAAAGAATTTTTTTAATACCGTTGTTAAAATTTTTATTGTTAATGTTTAATATAAATAGGAATTTGCCCTATGTGTTAGGTTATTGACACGACTACAATTCATTCCAATTCCATTCTCAACAACAGTTGTTATACTGGGCTTCCTTCTTGTAGGATCTTATATTGGTGATCTTCTTCTAGTAGGTGTTAAAGCACAAATCCTGGATAGTTATTAATATAACTAGATTTCTCACTATAAGACACTCTTTTACTTGAGAAATTTATTTGAGGTTTTCTATTCTTACCTAAGTAAACATATAACTTAAAGCCTTGCCAAGAGCTTGTTTTGCACTTTTCAGTCACTATCATTTCCTAGTAATTAGGAAAGTGTAGAGTTTCAGTAAAATCTTGCTTTAAAACCTGCCTGCAATCACATCCCTTAAAATAATGGCAACCCCTCATGGAAATATTGACTCAGAAAGTTGCAGGAAGACACTTCATTTGGGTATATTGTTATCTGCTGTTACTTCAATCATTCCTACATTCTTTACTCAGAAATCGTCTTAAATACATCATTTCATTTAGTGCTGATGATAGCACCCCAAAATATATTTTCACTGTAGAATGGAAACTATTAATGTTAATTTCCTCTGGTTTTCAACATTTACTGAGCATTTGAAGCTCTTTCCATTACATTTAAAAGTATTATTTTTGATCGTTTAATTAGCATCACGTTTTGGTTATTTCCTAATAATCCTTTTTTGAATAAACATTGAAGTGCCAGATAAAATTATATGATTTTTAAAAAAATAGTATATCACTGGCATTATTAAAATTAATGACATTTTCTAATTGTATCCCTCATCTATCCTCCAGATATTATAAACTTTCATGTTCACTAAAACTTTAATCCATCATTTAATTCCCTTTTACTGTATGATCAGCCTCTTTCTTTTATTCTTTTTTTTTCTTTCTTTCTTTTTTTTCTTGTGAGACCGAGTCTCACTCTGTCGCCCAGGCTGGAGAGCAATGGTGCGATCTCGGCTCACTGCAACCTCCGCCTCCTGGGTTCAAGTGATTCTCCTGCCTCAGCCTCCTGAGTAGCTGGGATGAAAGGTGTGCACCACCATGCCTGGTGATCAGTCTCTTTTTAATGTTTTCTATTTTATCTATTCATGTGTTCAAGTCTCTATAAAACAAAATACTACAAATTTCCCTTCATTATGTACTAACTCTCTGGTTACCTCCTGTTGTCTCTTTATTTGACATGTTAACCTTTTGAAATATGATGGCAAAACTTTCATCACAATGTAAACTTACTAATTTTTCAAATTCCAGGAATATCCATGTCTGTCCATTGAAAGCATTCTTTTTTTAACCTTCAAGTGATTGTTTTATCTACTTAATCAATCAATTACTGATACTATTGCTGCTTTTTAGTGATTACATTTTAACTTACCTAATGTGGTGCCAGATTAATAGCCTATTCTTTCCTTCAAACAGTGTAACCATCTTGCAAGACTTTATCCCCCAATTTTGTTATTCTTGTCCAGTATTTTAGTTCAATTATGTAACACCATAAATTTGTAATATTATTGTTCATACACGATCAAAGTTTGTTACCCACACCCCCATGGTCTCCATTTTCTTTGCTTCCCAGTCCTTCTTGGATCTCAGATCTTCTGTCTGGGATCATTTTCCTTCTTGAAGCACATTGGTTAGTTAGTTTATCAGGGAGGGATGCTGGTGATTTTGTTTGTTTGAAAATGTCTCTACTTTTCAAAGAGAATTTCTTCAGTGTGTAACTCTAGCTTGGCAATTATTTTATTTGAGTTATAATGGAATTATGGGTACACATTTCTTGGCTCTCCTTGCTGTCACTGAGAATACTGATTCAGTCTAATTGTTATATTTTGTAGATAATCTGTCTTTCTTCCCCATTTTGGAAATCTTTATTTTCTGTATTGTACTTTTTTTATGCTGTACGTAAGTGTGGATTTTTTTTTCTCATCATATCATATAAAGTTTAGGATATATTGTGCTTCTTCAGAGTGAGGACTCACATTTCATCAAAAAATGTTTTTTTTTTAGACAAGTCACTTGGGAACCCCTTTTACCCCAACGTGACAAAATTCAACACATAACAAACCCTGGACATTACATATTTTCTTCCAACCCCATGTTCCAGCTGTGGCTGTAGTTATCCTCTACAAATCTAGCTTAGAGATGAGGAAGGTTAAAAGGAGAAAGACCTGACCATGATAAGTGTTATCTGTGGGGTAATTCAAATTAAATTAACAGAATAACTCAAAGTTCAAAAAGTTAAATAACTTTTCCCAAATTGCTCATGTAATAATCCTTAAACTATGGTTTCAAACAATTGTCTGACTCAAGTTTTGAACTTTCCACATCATCATGTAGACGGTGCATCAGGACTCTCATCTTTGTACATGGGGGATTTTTTTTGTATGTTATAATAATTTTCCAGGAAATTGGAATTATAGAACCTATTGATTTTATGGTGTACTAAAGGTATATTCAACCTTACTTGTATTTAGCATCGTGCTTTGCCGGTAAGTCTAAATACACTACCTGTGTCCTAATGTTTGACTATGTATTTGGACTTGGAACCAAGCATGCATCATTCAGCCATTTGAACACATAGTAAAAACTTAATACATTTGAAGAGGCAAGAGTAACATATATCCATTTGAACACATAGATTTAAGGAATAATACGTAAGTCCTGTATTTCCCTAATGGGTATCGGTGTACAGATTGGAGTCTCATTGTTTCTCACTAGAACCTTCACAGATATATGCATGAGATGTATATATTTTAAGAAGAATTTTACATTGTTCAAGAAACACATATCTTACATTCAAGGTAATATAAATCCATCTGTAGAGCAATGGATTAAATATTCATGGAGCAAGGGTTATGAAAGAAAACCACTGTAAAAAAATACCTGAAGCATAATGAAGATTTAATTTATCCCTTAATACCATCAGCTATAACATGATAGACACAAATCTGAATACAGCTAAATTTATAAGACTGGTAAACATATGCCTTGTTTTCAATAATTTAACAGGTGCTTACTAAATGAAGTGATAATTAATAATTGAGTAATTGAATAATTGAATTCAAAGCATTTATCTATAATCTCACAAAACGTAGAATAACATTATGTAGAGTTCATCTGTAATTTTAGAACAGTCATAACTCTCACTTAATATGTTGTAAAAAAGTTATTTACTCCATTTTATTAATCATCTTATGATGAGATGCTTAAAAACAACTTTGAGTAACTACTATTGATATTCAATACAGGCAGCATAGTACACATTCACACACACACATTTTCCTTTTAAAGTTTGGTTATGATATATTACCCTCCTAGCATAGTAAGTCAGGAAAAAGCTGCAACTGTCTTAAAGCTGAAAGTTAAAAGGCTTTTAAAAGCTCTGAGTTTAAATTGTTCAGTTATTCAGTATTAGCAAAATAAAAAGCTCCCAGTAAAAATAATACATTTTCATTTATTTAACAATTAAATGTATTTTTGGGTACTATTTAAGCCTATTCATAAAAATAAAATGCAATATTTGTTAAACAGGAAGGATAAATATTTTCCACCTATAATTTAACACAAATAGGAATATCAATTGGTACTAGATTATAAGCAAAATGTTCTCTATTGATGTAATGATCACATGATAATTTCTGACATAATTACTTTTAAAACAGCAATAATTTGCTAGAAGATGAACAGGATAATATCTTACTTTAAATGAGACATCTGTAATCACTCTTTCCCTTTGGAAGTAGGAAGAAATTTACAACAGAGTCTGCTAGTAGGTCATTTTATTACCCAAGCCCTTAGATTTTATATTTTTACATGAAAACATGGCTCACTTTTAAAGACAGCCATCACTCTATGAATCCTCCTATCATGGCAAGACTGATTTGATGTTCATCACAATGCATTTTAAGAGGCAAGAGTGACATATATCCTTATTAATCTCATAATGATAAAGGATTGATTTCAACCTATATCCCAGACTGTTACATGAAATAGGCTCTGCCAAAATATCAGGTTCAAAAGATGCTCAATTTAAGGAGATCAGTTTTATGCTCCATCCTCAAAGGACAGAGTTATATGAGGTGTAAGTACGTCACATGAGGCATTAAGAGAAATTTTCTTCCCCATAAACTAAACACTGTTTGTACTGTAGTAAGAACTTAATACATATCATTCCGTGTGTGGAAGAAATGACTCACACTCCCTCCCCCTCCCCCCAACAATAATGCAGCTTTCTCTTTTTTGTAGGAATTATCTAAAATGATCACATCACTAAGCAGATCAGTGAGAGGAGTGAGTTTGAGTAGAAAATAAAAAAGCATTCGTGGCTTAAAAACTTCCCCCTACTGCTTGGAAATGGCACACCACAGTAGAAGTTAAGAACACAGCAAGCAGAGATTAACTGAACAACACAGAAAATCAAAAACATTTTTTTAATGGGGAAGGGGATTAACAATGCCAGGGCTAATCTTGGAAACTGGTCTCTGAAGTAAGAGTTATTAAGAGAAAAATATGTTATGTTCTAGAATTCGATTTTCAACTTAATTGAAAACCTCTTTTTACTTCAGTAGTTTTCATAGAAGGTGGAGAGACAGTTTCTAAATATTGTTGCTGAATAACTCGATGTATCAGTTAAATTAGTTAAAGGGAAGCCCCTGTTTTGCATGTGGCTATCCACTCAACCACTCCAAAACAATTCGTCAATCACCTGTTCATGGTTTGGGCAAAGTAACCATCTGCCTTTCAATTCTGAAGAGACATTCTGCTAGAATCATGGAATTATTTATAATAAAAACTTACTCGGTTGAATTCTCCTGTTGACATAATAATAAAAATATATAAGATGATATTTTAAATTGTCTAGGATAATTTAATGATGAGGCGCTGCCACTGAATGATGAGGTTCAGTATTTCTTGACAGCTGTGTGTCTGGATATTATTTTATAACCTTACAACTGCTCAGGTATACAGTGAAGATCAAGCAAACTAATACCTGCTTGGCATGGTTGCATTTTTCCTGTTTTGGTCATGTATAGTGTAATTTAAAACTGTAAACACATTTTCAGAATCTACTCTATTTGAATTTTTCCCCCTCAGTATGTAAGGTAATTTTCTAGCTGAGCAGTTTGTGAATGAGCTTCAAAATACTCGATGAGAAATTGAGAATCATGAAATGGTCGCAGAATCAGCCAGAAGTATGTCAGTTCCCTCTCCAGAGAGTACAGAGAAATGTGTATAAGAGATATCAGGTACTCTGAAGTACAGAGGTTCTAAATACACTGTGGTCCCGATGTAGCAAAAAACAAATAATGATGTTAAAAACATAAGAAAATACTTATAAAATGCTGAAGGTCTTTTTTGAAAAATGATTTGCCATTATGTCCTATATCACACATATTTCCTCCTTGTTAAATGTATCACCAAATGATCAATAACCTTAAAATAATTTGGAAATGCATATTATATAACCCACAGCAGATCTGGTAATCTATCTCTTTCATTTGTCCCAGATTAGTTTTGTGGTAGGAAACTCAAATGGCTGTACCATGAGAGGCAGGCCATTAAAACATTTAAATGGTTTTACAGTGGTATTTTTCAAATGAAGAATGAAGTTCATAAATTTCAGCGTCAGTGGAGAAATGAGTGAGGGGGGTCGGCATCTCTGGAAGCTCTTTGAAAATAAAGCATTCATTATTTTGTTGTAAAAATCAGATATCTATAAAGCCATTTATAAAATAACTAGTTGGACATCTAGCACACCTACTTATTTTCATTTGAAAATTTAGCCATGCTAAGATGCATTTGAGGTTAAAACATTTCTTTCCTTCCTCTTTTCACGTAACCTCTCACGGTCTGAGGACCAGAGACTTGTTTAGAACTTACCGAAGTTTCCCAAAGCAAAACCACGCACAAGCTCCTAATTCAGCTGCCAGATCTGTGTGCAGCTTCGTTCAGCTTCTCACTACGCTAGGCATCACTTTATTAATCATGTATGAATTTCTGTGCATGCACCCTGAAGCGATCACACACACGCGGTGCAATCCCAATCAAAAACGGAAGCCTTACCTGATGGCAGAAAAGGCAGCTGCAGGAGCAGCAGCACCGACGGCCGCAGCAGGGTGCCAACAGCTCAGCCTTGCGCGGAAGGTGAGACCCTTCTCTTCTGTTTCCCCTTTCCAAATCACTGTGCCAACACACTGCTTTGCATTTTGTCCGTTTTCATTCAAAGAAGGTTCTCCAGGCCGGGCAGCCAGTAGACACCACTTTCTTCCTGGAAGAGGCTGCCTCTCTTCTCAGAAAAGCCTGGACCCCTCTCTGTGGCTCCCTCCACATTTACCCTTCAGATCAATAATGCTCTCGGAGCGGCTGGAGCTCAACTGCAGCGGCGAGCGGCGAGCCAATGGGGGCCCAGGATTCCCTCCTGTCATCTCCCCGCCCTCAAAACAAAACACAGCGTGCCTTTGACACATCATTGAGTAGTGAAAAGTAATTGAATCCTATATTTGAAATGTATTTTGTTTGTTCTTTTTCCCCCCTAGCGTTCATTGTAGAATGCTTTGAATGAATCCGAGGACTCCTTAGCTCTCAGAAGACTCATTAAACGAGCCTAGCAGCGGGTGAAGATTAGGCGCTGAGAAAGTGATAGCACCTGGGTTAGCACCCGAAGCTTTGCTTTTTAAATGCTTGAGATCTATTGCATATCAGAGAACTGTCACCTGGGAGGAAAAAATCTTGGGTTCTATTAGTCTTTCCTCCACTAAGTCGCTTGAGTCTTTTTTGTGAATCAAGACAATTAATTACGTTTACCTGGAAGCTGTCTCAATGTTTAATTGTCTAAACGAGAATCAGATGCTTATTGGTGACAATAACCATGCTCAAGCAATTTCTCCTAATTCACTTACTTGTTTCTAGGCTGATTTAACTTGGTTCAGAGTCTATGAAGAACTCAAGATTGCTAAGACTATATACATTAGTCTGGTCTGTTTTAATTTTGTCATGTTTAAATATTGTAAGATTTTAAAAATTAATGTTAATTTCTCTTTATATGAGAGAATTTATTAATAATTACCTAAAACTTTATAGAATATTATAATGGCAATAAAATATTACAATGAAAAGTGTTATTGTTGAAAACCTATTCCTCCAAAAGCCACAAAACAACTTTGCATTCTTTAACCATGATTATCTTTCTTTGTGTTTCACTATTAAAGTGCTAACTATTGAATAAACATTTGCTTAAATATATTCACCAAGAATCGTGTATTTTCTAAGACTCTAAGTCATTTTATTATTCAGACATCAAGAATGCCACAATATTTCAGATAATCATTTAATTTTGTTCTATAAAAAATCTCAAGAGTACAGAGTCTCAATACAGTTTTAAAAATATGTCTCCCTACAGGAGGACTGTACACAAATAACAATGTCTTTTCAATGCTAGTGTTGAAAAAGAATAAAATTATTGGGACTGTCTGAAATCTTTTTGTTTCACTGAATACAAATGTGTTGATGTAGGTGGTGTAGCCAAGCTTTGTGTATCGTGACAAATTGAAATGGCTTGGGGAGACTTTACAAACAAAACAATTTCGTGACCTGTCTATCACGTGAAGGGAGGCACGGAAAAATGTAATATTTACACACTGTATGCTGTGTCACTATAACAAGGTGAATGCTAACTTTATTGTAACTCATTTATGTAGCCAATAAATATTTCATTCAGGGCAGTCTCTGGCTAAGTTTGGTCACTTGGATTTTGTGAAGAAAAGAATATGCTGATGAAAAAATGAATCATAAACATTGCTTTTCCCTCAATTGTATAGTATATTTTTCATTTATTTAAATTCCTTTTTTGATCACAAATAATAGGTCATTGACTACAGAACATTGTCTTTGTACTACAGGTCGAGAGTTCTCAATGTGTGGTCCCCAGACCAATAGCAAAAACATCACCTGGAACTTGTTGAAAAGACAAGTTCTCAAGCCCTTCCCCAAGCCTATCAAATCAGAAACTTTAAGAGAATGGGACACTGCGATCTATGTTTTAATATCCCTCCAGATGCTTCCAATGCACATTCAGGTTGGACAGTCATTGCTCTAGCTAAGGGGTCTACAAATTACAACAGAAGACCAGCCACCTGCTTTTGTAAATAAAGACTTATTGAAACCCAGTGGTGCCGATTTCTTTATGTATTGTCCATGACCGCTTTCGCATTACAATGGCAGAGTCAAGTAGTAGCCACAGAGACTTACAATATGAATCCTAAAATGTTTACTATCTGTCATTTAAAAAATAAATGTTTTGACCCCTCCTAGCGCATTGTAAGATGTGCAATATTATTAGTACAAACGGCAAAAGTTGAAGAAAAAAGAGCATCTGAAGGTGGAGTGGAGAAGATCAAATTAATGAAATCATTGAGATTTGAAAGAGATTGAAAATGATCATGTAATAAATTACATTGGTGTGTGTGTTTTGCAGATTTTTGCTGCTCTCCCTGTAGGAGGGATGCACTTCTCCCCAGTCTTGGCATCTTAGTATGAAACATGAATGGAAAAGAATATTGCCATTTCCAAACAGAATATTGAAGAACAAATATAAATTTGTGCGCACTCTATCAGCATGGGTTGTTGAAAGAAGAGAACATTGGAGTCTTATTTGTCCCTAGATGGACATGTAGCATGGAAGGATAAAATAGCTTTTATTTCTACACCACTGAGATTTGGGGATTTTTTTGTTACTAGACTAGTAGTATCTAATCTCTCCTGACTAAAACAAGTTACAATTAATGTAAGCAGAGGTAGGAAAACAAGCATTAAAGCTTGTTTTGTAATGTAATGACTGGGACAAGGCATTTGCCTGGAAACTCAAAAATTACTTTTCGGAAAATAAAATAAATCAATAGAATTTGTTTAAGAAAATAAAGACTGGAAAGATAAAAATGGATATTAAAACATTAGGACAAATAATTAAGGCTAAGGACATCAGACTTAATTTATTAGCAATGGAAGCCATAAAGGCTGTTTAGAAAAGGTATGACATCATCAAAATTATGCTATAAGATTACTCTGTTGGCGAGGAAGAGATCAAAGGGCAATAAACAAAAGAAAATTCATCACAAGGCCGTGAAAAATTAAAACATGATGTAATATGAGCCACTATTCAAGTATCGTTACCCTTATACTTACATCCAGTGAGTCAAGTTCCATCAGTTGTACTTCCTAAATACTAGTTAAAAGCATCATTTTATCATTTTCTTTATCCACCATTATCATTGTCATAGCTGTTGGATTGCATTGATTGAACTTTTACTTCCAAGACTTTTGTAACAGTCTCTTAATGGGTATCTCTGTCTCCTCTACATTTTATTATTGGTTAACTATACACAATTTTATACAATTATATACAAACAATTGTGAAGATTTGTTTCACAGCTTTTTTACTGCCAGACCCAACCAGACTGATGGGACATTTCCTGTATCCTCAAAGGGGAGGGAAAGAAGATATAAAAACAAGGGAATTTTCATTCAGACAACTAAAACAGTAACTTTTGCTCTGAAGTGACTAACCCCACTTCTGTGTATATATCCTTGACTAAAGAAAATCACAGACACATTGCTAAGCCAGAGGTCAATATGACAGAGATATATAACCTTTCTAGAGAGCCACACAGAGGCCAGTGATGATAATTTTGAAGAGTAATACAATCTACGACATTCTCTTCTGACCCCAAAACAACAAAGAGATGAAGTTGCCTACCAGGTGGTCTGCATGTCTAGGGAAAAGAACACATTTTCTTTATATGTGTTTTGCCATTTCATATGTTGTGCACATTCAACTGAAATGATTTCAAAGAGAAAAAAATAAACAAAAGCAAGAAATTGCATCAGAATCACTGACATGTATTTAATTACAGATATATATTGTAGGGAAAAGAAATATTCAGTGTTCAGTGTTTTTAGATCCTGAACATTGTTGATCTTGCTTGTATTCCCATTGAAGCAGAGGATGAATGAAAGACCCACGTGCATATAGTTTATGTGTCAGATTATCTTCAGAGCAAGTGTAAAGGGGCTTCATTGAGGTGGCCACCGTGGGTAACACAGCTTAATTACACTCGGATTTCTGGAGAGGTATATAGAATATCCCTCAGAATTTCCCAAGCAAAAAAAACAGAAAACTCCTTCCCTTGTCAGCCTAAGGCTCCCCTCAGGGACGTAACTGTGCCCTCTTTTGAAATATATATACATATGTAGGCACACTGACTCCTATCATCTCCCCCTTTCGTGTAGAAAGAGTCTGAGGGCAGAAGGCAAAGACAAGCCATGCTCACTTGAGAAATTCACCATCAGCAAAATAGTGAATCACAGCCATGTGAATCTAACCCTCCAGCTGCAACTGAAATCAGAGGGTTTATGAAAATGTAAGCTGTCATCTGATAGCATAGGATAATATTTATGTCAATAACAAGGGCCAGGGCCAGGTGCAGTGGCTCATGCCTGTAATCCCAGCACTTTCGGAGGCCTAAGTGGGTGCGTCACTTGAGGCCAGGAGTTCGTGACCAGCCTGGCCAACATGGCAAAACTCCATCTCTACCAAAAATACAAAAACTAGCTGGGTGTGGTGGCATGTGCTTGTAATCCCAGCTATTTGGGAGGATGAGGCACAGGAATCGCTTGAACGAGGGAGTGGGAGGTTGCAGTGAACCAAGACCGCACTGTTTCACTCTAGCCTGGGAGTCTGACGAGACTCTGTCTCAAAGGAAAAAAAAAAAAGAAAAGAAAAAGAAAAAAAAAGGGACAGAAGGACAGAGACGATAGGTTCACAGAACTGTGATGTTGAGTATTTTGGCATTTGGATTCAGATTAAGAAGTGATATCCAGATAGACTGGGATGAGTTGATGATTCATGAACTATTGAATAGAAACTTCTGCCCCAGCACATAGCAGAAAATAGAGATTGGGCTAGTTATCTAGCAGCAGTGATAGTAAAATACTATGATATCCATGACTAATAATAAATAGATTAGTTTACTGAGCACTGACTAGGCATCAGGCATCCTATTAAATATTTTACTTATAGTTTTATACCACATGTCAAGCTGCTACTATTATTTTATCTAGTTTACAAATAAGAATAACATTTGATGGTCACATGGTACCAGTGGAGTCAGGATCTGGGTTATGGCAGCTAAACTCTGTTTTGTCCTCATTAACCTCTAATGCTTGTCTTTCATATTTCTTTACTGTCATATGATATAGCAGAATAGAGTTATTGATTTCAATGGTGCAAAATATTTTGATTACTAAAAAATACCATTTTCCCCTGATGAATTGACTGATGTTTTAAAAATCCATCCAACAAGTAACTGTTGAATCCTATAATATAGATTGCTTTGTTAAGGCAAATGGTGAATGCAAAATAGTGAACACTATAATCTCTGGAAACCAAATAAAAAGACTTCGGCTCTCAGAAGTATACAGCAACTACATATTTTACCACCAACCACATGCCCAACCAATGGTATATACAAATTAACTATTCTTATAATGAAAAACTTTATCCCAATCATAAATGCGTCTCCATTCGGAATAAAAATAACTGTAACATTTGAAAAGGAAAGCTTTGTCACAAAACAATGACCTTCAGACTCAGCAAAGTTGCAAACGGGTAGAGATCGACCTGTTTTACTGGTGTTCTCACTGACTTGACTAGAAATGTACATTTGACTCAGCCTTATATGGAATACACTAATTTTCAAAGTCCATACGTATGCTTGTTATGAACATTATCTTATTCAAAAGCCCCAACGGTAATGTAAAAAAAAACCCATTTCCATTTTATAGGGGATGTAACTGAGGCTTAGTTAGAAGAGAAATACTCTTGGGTGGGCACGGTGGCTCACGCCTGTAATCCCAGCACTTTGGGAGGCCGAGGTGGGTGGATCACCTGATGTCAGGAGTTCAAGACCAGCCTGGCCAACATGGTAAAACCCCATCTCTACTAATAATACAAAAAATTAGCTGGGCATGGTGGTGGGTGCCTGTAATCCCAGGTATTCGGGAGGCTGAGGTAGGAGAATTGTTTGAACCTGGGAGGTGGAGGTTGCAGTGAGCTGAGATTGCGTCATTGCACTCCAGCGTGGGTGACAGAGTGAGACTCCATCTCGAAAAAAAAAAAAAAGATAAATAATCTTTTGCTCAAGGTCACACACTGAATCCTGACAATCAGTGTCAGGATTCAGAATCATGATTTATACCTGGTGGGTGTAATTGGAATGCCTTTCTCTTCTTTCTCAAAGTGATGCCTGTGAAAACTGAATTATCAGATTTAGTACTAACTGGTAAAGCTTTCTACTTAGCCTGAGAGCTGCCATCAACGACTGAAATCCAAACTCTCACCTTACTACCACCCCATTGCTCCAAAAAATAGGACAAACTACATTTTGGGAACAGCTATGGGTATTAGTGAGTATGTAAAAAGGAGAGATACAAGAAATGTTAGCAATACTGATATGTTCTGAGGTTATTAGGGAAGGCCACAAAATATAACTGGGTTTAAAATGGGTCCTCAAAAAAGAGTATAATTTGGAGAGGTGGGAAGATCCACATAGACTTGAAGCTACTGTAAACCAGACTGGTTATGGTTAGGACTTATGTTG
Organism: Homo sapiens; assembly: GCF_000001405.40. Taxonomy (NCBI): domain Eukaryota; kingdom Metazoa; phylum Chordata; class Mammalia; order Primates; family Hominidae; genus Homo; species Homo sapiens. Next base: position 22,859,648 of record NC_000005.10, read on the forward strand.
TGACAAATTAATAAATAAATAAGTTTGGTTAACATATGTTTATTATATATATAAATATGTTATGAATATATTTCTTAGTATATATACTATATTACAATATAGTATAGAATATAAATGTATATATTATAATATAGTATATAACATATAACATATAGTTGTATAAATTATATATATTTATTAATTATAAAATTAAAATATTCTATTTGAAGTTTTTTAATCTACTGGGAATCGAGAAAACAATAACACAAGATGTAATTATGATGCCAAGATGGCTAAGGCATGAATCATGACAAATGAGGAATGAATAAAATGAAGTATTTTGAAATAATTTTGAAATGAGAAATTAAAAGATACCATGACTTCTTGGACATAGATGATAAGGCAGAGGATTATGTTAGACATTGATCTGAATTTTCAAGTTTAAATAAAAAAAAAATTCTGTCATTAACTAATACAGAAAGTTTGGAGTCAGAATTACTTACACAGGGAAGATGGATTTGGTTTAACATTTATCTGTATGAAAAAAATTTAAATGATGAAAATATTTTCCAACCCATGATACAACTGTACATCCAGACCTCAACTTTATGTTAATAATAATATTAACAAACAAATTAATACTGTATAACGTTATAAAATAAGTATATGAAATCCATTAGATTTTATTGCTACTGGAGAGTATGCGTTCAAGAAATTCAAGCATATGTTAATACCTTAGAAGCACCTAATAAATCTAAAAATGTGTTCCCTTTTAGGTGTTTTATTGATCTTAAAACAAAATCCACTTATTTTAAAACAAAATCTGTTTATTTTCTTATTAGCAGTAATTATACATCTTTGATATCATGTCTCCTAGATATACATATAGATATAGATAAAATCAAAATTGGATATACTAAAATTATGTTTAATATATAACACTAAAATGTATTTTCTGTCAATATCCTGGTTACCATTTTGTTAGGTTTGAACTGCTCTTTTTTGTATTTTCAGAGCCCATTTTTTTAAATTTAGTTAGCAATGTTTAGTTAACAACATTATTGTTTTTCATATTTCTCTCTTTAAAATGATATCAAAATAAAATCATATTTTAGTGCTTGTTGAAATGTTAGGTTTCCTAGTTGAATATCTGACACTGAAATTCTCCAACCAGAAAGGGGGAAATTGTGTTTGTATATAATTAAATATAAGTAGGGAGAGAAAAAAAAAAGAAAAGAAATTAAAATAGGTTTTGAAATTTCTAAAGCCCTGTGTTTTTCCTAGATTCTTCTTCCTGACTATTCCTGTGTGAAATCAAACATACATCCTGTGGAGACAAGAAGTCCTAAGAAGCCTCTCTCGATTATGTCTTTGGCTACGGTACGTCATTTATTTGATCCTGCAACTCAGACTGACTTTAAATAATATAATTAAGCAATTCTGAAATGACCTCATTTTAAAGAAGCCCACAGACATCTAATCTTCAAAAACGTTAAATTGAAAAATAATAAAAAAATGAAGGCAGTGGGCAAATAAAGGTCATTTTCCTTTTTTAGTGATATTATCCACTCAGCATTGTATCAGATCATCTAAGCCAAAGTCCCAAGACAACTCCTGAAAAATAATAAAATCTTGAAGTAGGGAGAGATGGGTAAGTGCACCTCATCGTAATACAATGCAGAATAAAGGCATTAAACATGAGCTAACATAATACAAACCCAGTACAAGGGTGTCTGTTGTAGCATCATTCTATTCAATGCTAGAGTAAGCGTACTGGATTTTACTTGAACATGACAATACACAGGACTATGCTCCTTTGAGATCTCTGAGGGCTTTACATGATAAATAGCCCATTCAAAGTCAGCATACTTATATCAAGGGCACCCAAGGATAGGCATAGTTTCTGATAAACGGCCAAGCAAATTTCATTCCATTTGCAATAAAAAAGATTATAGGAAACTTTTAAGGGATACTGGAAATCACTGCATTACAAAATAACAGTTTTTAGAATGTCAAATTTCCTTACTGTTGCTTAAGTCAAATCTATGAGTCCTGGGTAATGAAGACCTGTCTAAATATAATCATGCATGAGGATAATCAAGAGAGTTTTATTTTGCTATAAGCGCTTCATGATTAAAGTAATGTGTGATTTGAAAAAAAAAAAGACAATTTGAAGCAAAATGAATAGAAATACAGCCCAGAAATAAAGAGAAATATTAGCTGTACAAAAACATCTAAGACTATAATGAAGAACACTTGGAGAAAAGAAGGCTTAATTGAGACAATAAGGACATTCTTTTAAGTTTTTTCATGTGGAATAAGCATCCAACTAGGTCTGCTTGGATTCAAAGTGCAAAATGATACCCAATAGGTAGAAGTTACAGATTAAAGTCGACCTTCCAACACCTAAGTGGAATAATCAAAAGATAAAATCATTTGCATGAAGATACAAAAACATCTAGAAGTGCCATATATATATATATGAGATATATACAGATAGATATACATAGATATATACACACACATATATTTGAAACTGAACAGCTTCAGACCTGCAGAATGGTAAAATGACAAGAATTGTTTTTCTGCTAATATCAGGCCAATGATGTACATACCATGCCAATTCTCATTTGCTTGACAGCTCCAATTTGAAAGCAATTCAAATGATTCCTGATATCCCTTATTTTTATCATCCTTATTTAATTATTATTTGCAGAACATGAAATCTACTCATTCTAAAAGTATAATGCAATGAGTTTAAATAAGTTCACACATTTGTACAATTATCACCACAATCCAATTTTAAAACATTCACTTCATCCCAGTAAGATCCTTGGTGCCAATTTGCTGTCAGTTTGTCCTTAATCCAACCCCAACCGCAGGTAACCACCTATCTGTCTTTATAGGTTTGCCTTTCTAGACATTTAATATAAATGGAATTGTATGATATGTTAACATTTGTGCCTGGATTCTTTAAATTAGCATCGTATTTTTGAGCCTCATCTGTATTCATTCCATTTGTATTGTTGTATAGTATTCATTGCTTGGATGTACGTAGTATTGCATTGCTTGGATATTGCTCCCATGTTCTGTTCATCCATTTACTAGTTAATAAACACTTGGATTGTTTCCACTTTTTGACTCTTATGCATAAGGCTGCTGTGTCATATCCAAGCCTCTCTGTGAGGACAGATTTTTTTATTTTCTTGGGACAGTTTCTTGGAACGGGATCATTGAGTTTTAAGGTAAGCTGGTAATCATTTTTTTAAAAAGAAACTGCCATACTGTTGATCAAAGTGCCAGTTTACTTTTCCTTCAGCAATGTAAGAGGATTCCAGTTGCCATATGCCAATGCCAACATTTTGTATTGTCTGTCATTTTCATTACAACCATTCTAGTGGGACAAAGTAATATTTTATCATGTTTTAATTGGCATTTCTCTACTAATCTTTTCATGTGATTATTATCCATTTATATATCTGTTTTGGTGAAACATTGAAGTTTTGCTCATTTTTAATTGGAATTTGGCTTATCATTGTAAGAGTTCTGTGCATATTGTGAAAATTAAGAGAAATGTGGTTCGCTAATATTTTCTCCCAGTCTTAATTTTCTTAATAATGACTTTTGAAGTGCTAAAGTGTTCTCTTTGATTACTTTTTAAAAACATGGTTTGTTCTTTTGGTACTATATCTGAGGAATTTTACCCCAACTCAAGGTCACAAATATATTCTCCTATATTTTCTTCTAAATGTTTTATTGTTTTAGATATTACATTTAGGGGTATGATCTATTACTAAATAAATTTTTGTATTATATGAAAAAAGTACTAAATTCATCTTTTTTCATAAAGATATCTAATTTTCCCAGCACCACTTGCTAAAAAAAAAGTTTTTTTTCATTGAATTGCCTTGGCACCTTTATAGAAAATCAGTTCAAGTAGAAGATGACAAATTCTACAGACTATGAATATCTTGGCATCATTTTTTCCTAAAAATAAGCCAGAGATAACAGGGAACAAATGAAGAAAATTAATGAGGCAGGAATATTCTCTTTCTGATATCCATAGCTCCTCTAATGGCACAGTAACCTGAGATTTGTATAAAAGCCTGCCAAATCAAAATTCAATGTTTAGTTATTTGACATTAACTCTTTGGTTGTGAGAACAGAAAAATTACTTAAATTTTTATGTTTTTGCAACAAGCCTTGTTCTTTTTCAATATGCTTTTTGAAAATACTTAGTTGGAAGCTTTTCTTATCTCTTTGTTTTTATTTTTATTTTTTTGCTATTGCGGTGTTTTAGAATACTTTTATTAAAGTATCTGAGTTCTTTCTATATTTCACTATATTTCCTTACTGCACTTACCATTTAGTAGGTTAATTATGTGTTGACACAGTTTGGGATAAGAGCTGTAGTCCATATGGTAATAGGAGGACAGGATCTATCAGAGAGAGCTTTTTAAAATAGTTTTGCTAAGAGCTGTTACTTATGGTTGCCAAATGAGAGATACTACTCAACTTAAGATATTCTTCAGGGAGTAGAGGGTGACCTTTAATATTACAGGTGAGAAAGCTGAGTCTGAACTACTATTATAGCAGCTTAATGGTTCCCAGTGGGAGATAGTTACAGGATTTACTTCTTACATCCTAACTGGGGAAAAGTCATGCTTGCACCCATGTTGTGTATAAAGAACTCTTTTGGAATAAGCCATTTGCTGTTGTAGAGTGTAAATTAAATATCATGCAAAAAGTAGACTACAGAGAGAAGTAAAAGGTTTCTTTGGCTGAAATTGTAGAATTATAAACACAAAGGGAATAAAAATTTTCATGGGAAGTAAAATGTGAGAAATAAATTAGTAAATATCCCAAATAATGCTATAGGAAAATGTGAAAATAAAGGAAAGAAAAAAAACAGAAGTAAGAAAAATGAATATAGAAACAAAAGAATGACAGCTATAATGTTTGCTTATGACCCACTCTGGCTATAATCAGTTGAGTGTTGTCCAGAGCAGAGAAACCAATAGCCCCCTAACTTACAAGTTTCATTGGCTGAAATCCTGGTATTCTAAACACCAGGAAAATATAAGTTTGCATGAGAAATCAAATGTAAGAGATAAATCAGTTAATATCCCAAATAATTATATAGAAAAATGAGAAAATAAAATAAAAAAACAAAGAATAAAAGTGAAAAATGAACATATATCTGACCTAAGAAATCATGAGCCAGATGGATGAATGATTTTTACTTTAAGCCCCTAGAGTTTGAGAAGATTTGGTATGCACCAAATGCTAACGTTAGTTTCTAATTTTCAGTAAATATAAGAGGATATTGTAGATATTTTTAAAGCAGATGTTCACCCACTTATACATTGAATTTGAGAAATTATCATTTTTAAAATTATGTCTATACTCGATAACTTGATTGAAGATTTTCATATTGATTGAGTGGTGACAATATACCAACAATATACTAAGAACAAAAAATAGTACTTTGTTAAGAACACTTTTAGCTCCAGTCTACATAGGACCAACAATTATTTCATCTATCCTTATTTCTTTCTATATTTTTCTGAGACAGAGTTTCACTCTTGTTGCCCAGGCTGGAGCGCAATGGCGTGATCTCGGCTCACTGCCATCTCCTCCTCCTAGGTTCAAGTGATTCTCCTGCCTCAGCCTCTCAAGTAGCTTGGATTACTGGCACGCTGCCACCATGCCCAGCTAATTTTTGTATTTTTAGTAGAGGCAGGGTTTCACCACGTTTGTCAGGCTGGTCTCAAACTCCTGACCTCAGGTGATCCTCCCGACTTGGCCTCCCAAAGTGCTGGGATTACGGGTGTGAGCCACTGTCCCTGGCCAATTATTTCGCAATAATAACTAAGCAATCATGAAATTTTGTGTACACTTAAAATTGGTTTGCAGAAAAATTTTCATTGGCAGGCTTTAAATATATAATAACTACATGCCACATTGCTCTTTTTTGTAATTTTGAAATATTAATTAGCTTCAGCCTGAATCTATATTGTCATCATTTTGCTTAATCATATCTAGATGCTCGTATTAGAAGAGGAAATTATTACTTGAAGTTTTTCAGCCACTTAGAAGAATTGTATGCATTGGGGAAAATTGTACTTGCAGTTAGAGGGAGTGGTAAAAAATGACAGTGTGTATTGAGCCTACCAGTTATTTTAGATGTGTAGAATAGCATCAAAACAAATCCTCTCATTGTGTATTATGAAATAGTGGTTATATTTTTTTCAAGTCTGATCACGTTCAGTTTAGATTTGTACATCAGCAATAAATCACCTTCCTTAGAATGTATCTTTTCCTTTCATTTTCTTACACTATCTACATTCTCTCAGAAGTGCCTCTTTGAAAATCATTTTCAACCTTTTGAATTTTAAGATAGATTGTACTAATCAGCTATTAGATATCTTAAAATACTTGTGGAATAGAATAACTTTAGGAAAATAAGATGAAAGAGAAATAAGGAGAAAGAGAACAAGAAGAGAACAAAAACTAAAAATAAGCCATTTATTTTGGTAGCATTTTAATAAGAAATATAGTTGATGGCTAATTAAACTTTCATAATCTATTATCAAAGTAATAAAAGTAAAATGAGCAAGAAGACAGGGATGTGAGGAAAGAGGAGAGTTCCTAAAAGTGTGTAAGTCAATATAGATATCTACTGATTTTCATTTGTTTGTATTTATGTTTTGAACAGATAATACAAGTATTTAATGCTCTATTGTAAATGCACAAAATATTATGCAAAGAAAGAACATTTTATTCTATCTCCTAATATGCAGGTTTCTCTCCCAAAAAGCAGCCCGTGTCACTATCTTTGATACTATTTCTTATAGAGATATCTCAATTCTTGTAGTTCAGATTTTCTCCTTATCTGTTCAGAGGATAGTTTTCTGTGCCAAAGAAGCCAAACTTATGTTTTTTTCAGTAGGATTCTTTGGGACAAAAAAAATCATAGGAGTTCTATGTTTTTCATCTCATAGAGAAAAGAAAATATTCATTTCTCTAACACCCTCTATGTTTATAAAATCTATATAGCAAGTGTTCCAGAGCCTTACAAAGGAATCTATATCACTCTGGTCATTCAATTTTTGACCTCAAGAGTAAAAGAGTCCTGGAAGCTTTCAAAATAAGCTCTCCCATGAAGTGAATTGTAAGACTTTCCAGTTTTGAGTCAATTACCTTGAATAGTTTCTCTTGGTTTTGAAAAACAAATGCTGAAAATGAAATATTTTATATATTACATCTAATGAATGAAGTCATTTTTATTCGACTTTTATAGAGATTCATGAAATTCTTCTTTTTAATTTGTAGGCAAATTGTTCCAAGCCATTATTTCCCCAGCTGTCAGATGATTATTCATCCCGGCCCACAGCCATGCAACACCCAAGGCTCCTCTGGAAGGCATCAACCCTGCCATGCCTTTGACATCGGACTCGGCCATGTGACTTTGTGGGCCAGTGGTATATGAATTGGACTTATATGACCTGAATTCAAGTTGGCACTTCAAGGGCTATCACATGTATTTGTCCTTGGTCTGCTTCCTCATGAAAATCACAATATTTCCCACATAGAGACTATTTATTCAGTTAGATTTCTGGTTTGTAGACACAGAACAAAGTTGGAGTCAACTCAGGGGTGACAATAAATTCTAGATATAAGTCACTGAAATGTTGGTACTTCTTTTAGAACAATAAAAAATGGCAAAAATTTACTGATGAAAAGTACTAAAAAAGCCATGTGGTCTCTAGAAAATTGCTTTTGCATATTTTAAATGATATTGGTTTTATGGGTCACTATGCATCAATTAGGATTTTTTGTCAATATGACACTTTTTTATATAAGCAAATAAAAATATGGTAACATCCAGGGGTAAATATGAGTCCATTAAAACCAATATACCGGAAAGATCTATTTTACTGAGTTTTTTAAATACATTTTGAAGGGCATGTTAAAATCATGCTTGCTGATTATATTGAGGAATTTGCCAAGTCCTATTCTATAATTGTAAGTTTTATTAAGAAATATGAGCTGATGCTATTGCATTCAACTATTTTTATAGCTAACAACAATTTCCAAGTAGAGTTAATTAATAAGATCAATCTGAATAGAAATCAATGATGGAAGAACACAAGCATCATCATACACCTTCTGTTATTTCACATATTTATCAATAAATATTTACTATTTCCCTACGTCTGTGTTGTTACAGCTATGATTAGTTTAGCTAAGTATGCTAATGTATATTTAGGTGACCCTAAACTTTGTGTGTATGCATGAGGTGTAAGTGTCACAGTTAGTGACACTCAAACTATTTGGAGATGAAATGATTGAATATGTACCAGAGAGACCACAAATTTGTCAGTTTGCTTATACCTCCAACAAACCACTAAGTGGTCAATCCGTTAAGTTTTACAGTAGCATCTGGGCAGGTGTTTTGGAGTTCACTCACATTTTTCTATAGGACAGAAGGGCAAGAACTACAGATAGAACCACCGAATAAGAAAGAGACTAGGGGAAAAGAAGATTCTGACTGTGTGGCTCTTGCCTTTAGATGCCAAAGAATGGATCACAGACTAATTCAGATGGGTGTATATCCTCAAATTCCTACCAAGACCAAGACATTAGTAACGCTAGTTACGATGTTCAAATGCCTGGTGTCACATCCTATCACATGGTAGTCACTGGGAATAGATTGACCATGGATGGCCCATTGCTTCCCTGTTGTTCTTTCTTCCTTTTGCACTCAGAAGCTTGCTTGGGGGGTGGTTGGCAGGGGCCTGGGGGGTGAACAAGGAGGCCTTGGAAGAAGGAAAATAATTATGATACAAAGTTTGAACTTTTCTTGACGGAGTTGGTGAGTATAGATAACTTGAATGTGCAAAATTAAATCACACCCATTGCTCTCTTTCCTAGCCACACCAACCTGCTCCAGAAAAGAAAAGTAAGTTCCTGTGTTAGTCAAGCATACTGCATGAAAAACAGATACATTTATACATAATCACATTTTTACAATAAAAGTGAATCTAGCACACAATAAATATTTTGGTGGCCTACTCTGTGTGAGAAATTATGAACACAGTTTCTTCACATAGATTAAACTGATTTTTTTTTCAATCAGTAAATACTTATTGAAGATCTTACATATCTATTCTGGGATATTAGTTGGCCTATCATAGGCACTCCCTCAGAGGACAGTCTCAAACTCATTTCTCTTTCTTCCTTGGTCTGTTGCTCACTATTAGGAAATAGTCTGAACAATATATTAATGTATTTTGTGGATAAAAGTTTCTATCTCTCCTAGCACTTTCTGCATTAAATTAAATAGCACAGCTAGTCATAATGATAATGGGATTTAATTGGCAAGAATAAGCAGAAGTGGGTTATTATCAGTTAGAGTGCCCCATACATATATTTCTTAAAAGTGTCAGTAATCCTCTCTGTAGTGGGTGAGGTAGAGCATTATTGGGATACTCAAGCCGGGAAACACCTTCAGAAGTAAATTATCTGTCCAATGGACAGTCCACATGCAGTGACTGGCTGATGCAAAGGTATGAGAGTCTGATTTACTTGCCTTCATTGATTTATTCCTGAAGAGTAATTCCAGGTTCTGATTTTTTTGTTCTTTGTGTGCTCTGCTGAGACTTTTGGTGCAATTGCATTGCAATTCAACTTCTCCCTCTGCCCAATCCTATCTTATTTACTCACCAACAGGGCTTGAACTTGAGACTACCTTCCGATAAACTTCTTGTATGCAAATCTCTGCCTCACTGTCTGCTTTCCAAGAACCTAAGACTGACCCTCAATTTCCTTACACACACACACACACACACACACACACACATGCACACACACAATAGGTTATCTTCAGGCAAGAAAATTTATTTGCGAGGTGAGGGGGATGTGCAATTGCTATTCTCAGACAGATTTTAGCAGACAGAAGATATTGACCTACTGTTTTCCCTTCTGATTTTAGTATGATACCATTTCTAATCCTTATCATTTAGTATGGTCTTATAGGCTTTAGACAATGATTCACACAAGACAGTCTATCAAGGCCTATGCACAGTTTTACAGGCCTCATTTCAATGATCCATGATAACTAGGATTTTAAGTTGGGGGAGTTATACTTGAATCCCTGCTGCTCTGTGGGCTTATGTGCTTGCTTATTTCAACTTTGAATTATTTAAGGTAAACTAAAATGCTATGAAATAGAAGCCAAAATATATAGTGCTTCACATACAATAAAATATTATTTCTTTCTTGGCAATTTTCAAAATGTGGCTTCCAGGATCACAGCAGGCCTCATCATACCAATCAGTGGAATGGGGAAAAGGGTATGCCAGAGAATGCTGGAAAATGATCATGCACTAGGCCAATAGTTGAACTACACACCTCTCCTTAAATGCCATTGAATAAAATGTTGCTACATGGATGTGCCTAATTCTAGGGCAAGTGTCTAGGAGAAAGGGGATAAAAGATATTTGTGAATAACTACTACTTCTGCCACACAACTATACCTGCTAACATTGAGTTGTGTTAATGAGCAGTTCATTAATTTAGAAGAATCTTGAAGAGTAAACACAAAGAAGTTGTCAAATTGGAGCAGGGACAAATGGCAATCACCAATGTACTTTCAGTGTCTGTTATCATAATGCAGAAATATTATGTGCTAATATATTTTGAAAATTTGTGGCAAAATGAGCACTTAACTTCAAGCCTGCTGCCTTAAATGGACAAAGACCTTAAATTATTGCTCCTTTCCTTCAATTAGCCAATAAAACAAGTATATACTCTTACAATTCTAGATAATTTACAATTATAATTATCATTTCTGTGGAATGTAGAGTACAAAGAGGCCTGAGGTAGCTTGGAACTACTTTCCTTTGAGCATTATTTAAAGTATGTATTAAAAGGGCACATGCTTTGATCTGCTACTGTGTGATGGCTTAAGGCTACAGCAGATTTGCTAGAAAGTAGAAAAAACAAAGGTATCATCTTATAGTAAGCCTGAAAAGAAGGTGACTATTTTAAACAATACTGTCAAGAGTTTTGGAAAGTGAAACATATTTTTTGTATTGTGGTTAAGAAAACACATAACAGAAAAATACATAACATAAAATGGTTAAATTCTTAATCATTTTTATATGTAGGGTCAAGTAGTGTTAAGTAGGTTCACATTGTTGTTTGTGCAATCAATTTTCAGAAATGTTTTTGTCTTGCAAAGCTAAAAGTACAACCATTAAATGACAACTCCCCACTTCCTTGTCTCAAAAAGCCTATGACTCCCATGCTCACTATAGAGAAACTGTCTTAAGTCAATAAGACTTATACGTAACGCTGTACTTGTTTCCGTATGTCAAAATCTCTGTGAAGAGTCAGTGACTTTCACATCTCCCCTTTAAGGCTGTTGATTTATATGAGCAGGCTAATCCAATCCTATACTCTTGTCCTTGTTTAGATATTCTGCATACCCACTGGAAGAAAAAAAATCTGTGAGTGGCTTTTTTTGACTTAATGTTAATTCATTTTAGTCAATTTTGTGAAAAGCTTCCTCAATTTTTAGTCTCCATTCATATTTTCCTTCTCAGAATCACTGTTATGCTCCTGTCTTAGTCCATCAGGAGATTTTTAAACAGAATATTTTAATAATATAGAAATATATGTTTATGCATTTGCTAGGCACTTTGATTTTTTTATTTTAATTTTAATTTTTTTTTTTGAGATGGAGTCTCGCTGTGTCGCCCAGGCTGGAGTGCAGTGGCCCCATCTCGGCTCACTGCAAGCTCCTAGGTTCACGCCATTCTCCTGCCTCAGCCTCCCTAGTAGATGGGACTACAGGAGCCTGCCACCATGCCCGGCTAATTTTTATTTATTTATTTATTTTTAGTAGAGACAGGGTTTCACTGTGTTAGCCAGGATGATCTTGATCTCCTGACCTCGTGATCCACCCGCCTCAGCCTCCCAAAGTTCTGGGATTACAGGCATGAGCCACCATGCTGAGCCTGATTTATTTTTAAATAGTGAAAGGTAATGAAATCTATAGGACAAATTTAATTTACATGAAATAAAATGTTGACTCTAATGATAACACACAGATATGTGCTTCTCTTCTCATCTGTGCTTCTCACTTACTTCTTACTTTTCTCCTAGTTTCTCCACATTCACATATTTTGACGCAGAATACTTGAGACTATGTAATTTATAATAAATAGAAATTTATTAGCTCACAGTTCTGGAGGCTGGGAAGTCCAAGATCAAAGCCAGTAACCAGTAAAAACCTTCTTGCTATATTAACGCATGGCAGAAAGCAGAAAGGCAAAAGGGCTGATTCCCAAAAGCCTTTAATTAAGGAATTAAATCTACCCAGGAGCATAAAGCCCTCATGGCTATAATGACTTGTCAAATGTCCTACCTCCCAATAATTTTACAATAGCAATTAAATTTCAACATGAATCTTGGAGGGGATATTCAAACTATAGTAGGCCTCAAACTCACAATTCATAAATTTGGATGAAGTTATCCCATTTCTAAATTTTATGAAACAGAGTTGTAATGGGGAACCCATTTTCTGCACTGGTACCTTGTATATTACTAAGCATGCATAATATAAATGGGTTTTAGAAATATTGTAAAAGGCTGGGCGTGGTGGCTTACGTCTGTAATCCCAGCACTTTGAGAGGCCGAGGCAGGTGGATCACGAGATCAGTAGATCAAGACCATCCTGGCTAACATGGTGAAACCCTGTCTCTACTAAAAAAATACAAAAAAAATTAGCCGGGCGTGGTGGCGGGCACCTGTAGTCCCAGCTACTTGGGAGGCTGAGGCAGGGGAATGACGTGAACCCAGGAGGTGGAGCTTGCAGTGAGCAGAGCTTGTGCCACTGCATTCCAGCCTGGGTGACAGAGCGAGAGTCTGTCTCAAAAAAAAAAAAAAAATTGTAAAAAATCTGCTATATTGACTCAACTAGTGCCATGACAAAATAGCAGAGCCAGAAGTCATATATATGAAACCAAAAGCCTGGCTATGCAATGTTTGTCCAATTATTAGTCATAAAAATTATAATAGGAGAATTTATTTCTCATAGAGGCCTGATGAAAATAGACACTCTCTTCTGTCAGAAACATGATAAAGCCCCCAAATTTTACAGCTTATGTATAAAACATATTGTTAAATTTGTCCTGATTTTGACACAAATCCTAAGATACTAGTGCCTTTACATAAAGATAGTTCTTAATATAACTATCCAACCAGAAAACAGATAATATTTTTATTATTTTAAATACAACTATATTAAAGCATTGTTTTGTGAAGAAGTGATGAGAAATTATTCAGATATGCATTTAGGGGAAAAATATTATTAGAGAGTAATGTGACAGGTAGATGATTCATTAGCTTCTAATTTTCCTAGATTTTTTAACTTTAAAAAATTTGTTGAGTTTTTTTTTCTCCTTCTACATAAACATCCACTTACCTTGCCTAGTGTTATATCTGTAATTTTGTTTTCTTTTTCTTATACAAGTATCTCCAATTTTAAAATATATTTTGCCATAATATCTGGATTTGTACTAATTTAGGAGTATATTGTTTCTTACTTTTTATTCCCTTTTGCTGTCAAAATTAGGCCCCTGAGATGATTTTTCCTTTTATGGCAGACACTGAAACAATTACAAAAAAATAAAGAAGAAACTTGACTTAGAGCAGAATGAACTGATTAAGAAGCAAAACTGAAAAGTGAATTTTTCTATTATCCATACTAAGCGATAGTTAATATGAGTAAGAAAATTGCCTGTCGGGAGAGAAAGGTGTGGAGAAAGGGATTTCTGCAAGAGAGATGAAGAAAGTTGAAAATGTCATTGCCAGGTTGTTCTTGAATGTGAACACTCCACTATTCCATCACCAGAAAGCCCTGGACTTGGACGTTTCTCCCAACAGAGAGAGGAGGTTTGTATTCAGTGATCATGTGGATGATTCTTTCACAAATATTTATTCTCCTCTACCTCCTATTGCGTTTGGTGTTTACTTTCACAGGCCATTATGATTTGACCATATGAAATATCTCGGTAAACCCTTGAGTAAAAAGTCCATTTTTTTGAACTTTATTTTGAAAAAGTATCAATCAAACTAAAAACCGAGGAATCTTGAGTAAATGCCTTAAATGTAATTGGTCTGAGGCTTTTCATTGGGAAAATGAGGGAAGTTGGACAGTGTTATTCCATAGCCCTTTCCAGACCAAGAAATCCATGATTCTAAGTATTAATTCTGAGCACTTACTGAGCATAGACTCATAGGTTCTATGTGGATATAAAATTCCTAACTCTAAAGAGTAACAGTATGGTTAGGGAAAAAAAAAGTTCTATATACAAGATAGTGAATACTATCAGTTAAAATATATTAAACAGACTACAAATTTCATTTGTGTTCTGAGAAGGGAAAGCTTTATGTAGGGTAAGATAAAAGAGTGAATCACAAGGAATAAAATTCCCTGCATTCATTTTAGGATAAAACAGGAATGCCTAATGGCGGAACAATGTCCCTTTGGCTGGCAGGAAGGATTCTTTACATTCGCCTTGAGTTGGCATCAGACCTGGAATTTTAAACATCACATTCAAACTGTGTTATTGATGTTTCTGCTTAATGAAGTGGCCGTTATTGAGAACCCTGCCTCTTGCAGGCAGAAATAACTAAAAAGGGTAAATTCAATTCCTATATTTGAATCAGTTATTATTTTTTCTTCCAGAACTTATTAGGCTAGCACATTGCTCAATAGGTTTAAAATAATGGGTTTCTCATTTTTTCTATGATGTGTATGTCATTAATTGTGAGCCCCTTCTCTATTGCCACTCTTTTCTAAGAACGTAAATAAAGGGATATTGACCATACTGAAAAGCTATTGATGGATGCTAATATTTTCACTATATCATTACTTATACGCAATGGAAAAGAAGCTTCTATGTTTTCTGTCAGGAAGTAGCATAAAATCTATACCGAGGGACTACTTTAGGGTACTAATAATGTTCATCAAAAAGAAATAAAAGAATATACGTTGTTGCCCGCGACTTTTTCATGTTAATTTAATGGCTAAAATTTCCTTAAATATATAGTTGTAATGTTCACTTCTGTTCATTTCTGCCACATCATACAAAGGATTTTCCCCCCTAGGTCAGAAGTTTGAACTAAACTTGGTATTATCTTAAATGTTTGTAGTAGCCTTTAGAGGGAAGCCTGCCACTTTATTCACAGTGTGAGGTTGAGTACAAATGATGAGGAGCAGACAACTTTTAAACATGCGTAGATACTGACATAGTCAATGTTTTAGTTGTATGTAGGAGACTTCATAACACATAAATCCAAACCTTTTCTAGCTACAGATTGAATAGGTGATATCAGTTAGACTGAGGACATCACATAAATTAAATTTTCTCTCCGTGTATTTTGTGAGACATCCCCACATTCGGATATTTGACAACCAAGTGCTCTTTTCCTGGATCCCATACTTTAAAGCAATTTATGTCCTATTAACACAATTTCTTTCCCCCATCTCTAAGCATGAATCAATTTAGTGTATTCTATTTTTTAAATTGTTTCTTATCTCAGCTTTTATTGCTCTCATTTTTAATTAAAAAAATTATTTTAAATAATGGATACATAATAGTTGTCCATATTTATAAGGTACAGGTGATGTTTTGATGTAAGCACACAATGAGTAATAATAAAATCAGGATGATCAGGGTTTCCATTACCTCAGGCATTCATTATTTCTTTGTATTAGAAACATTCCAATTTTATATACAACAAATTATTGTTGACTATAGTAGCGCTATTGTGCTACTGAATACTAAATCTTATCTCTTCCATCTAACTGTATTTCTGTCCCTATTAATCATCCCTTCCTTATCCCCCTTCCCTCTACCCTTATTCAGTCTCTGGTAACCATCATTCTATTCTCTAGCTCGTTGAGTTCAATTATTTTTTTAGCCCCCACATATGCATAAGAACATGAGACATTGGTCTTTCTGTGTTTGGCTTATTTCACTTAACATAATGTCCTCCAGTTCCATTGATGCTGTTGCAAATGACAGGATTTTATTTCTTTTCATGGCTGAATAATATTGCATTGTGTATATTTATTTCATTGTTTTTAATCTATTCATCTGACGATGGACACTTAGGTTGATTTCATAGCTTGGCTATTGTGAATAGTGCTGCAAAAACATGTGGGATTGTAGGTATCTCTTTAATATACTCATGTATTCTCCTTTGCACATGCCCAGAAGTGGCATTGCTGGATCATATGATAGTTCAATTTTTAGTTTTTTGAGAAATCTCTATACTGTTCTCCATAGAGGCAGCACTAATTTACATTCCTGCCAATAGTGTACGAGGGTTTCCCTTACTTCACATCCTCATCAGCATCTGTACTTGCCTGCCTTTTTGATGAAAGTTATTTTAAATGGGGTGACATAATGTTTCATTACAATTTTGATTTGCATTTCTCTAATGATTAATAATATTAAGCATTTTTCATATACCTGTTGGCCATTTGTATGTCTTCTTTTAAGAAATGTCTATTTGTCCATGTTAATCAAATTTTTTTTTCTATTGAGTTGTTTGAGCTCCTTATATATTCTGGTTATTAATGTTTTGTCAGGTGGGAAAATCTGCAAACATTTTCTCCTGTCTGTCTGCTGTCTCTTCCACAGAATGGGAGAAAATACATGCTCTCATGATTTATTCTAAACTTTACCTCTCTTCCAAATCCTAGGTGTTCTCTTTTACTATTATTTTTCTTCGTTTTTATGGATACTGTCTTATTTCTTTTAATTACATAAATGAAACATGAATCCATAGCCTAAAAAATGTATAGCCGATTCCATTTATTCTAACTCTCAACCCCCATCCACTCCATTCTCCAGAAACTATCAATTTGCTGATCATTTTATTGCTGATCATTTTTCAATCTGGTCTTATAAAATATATAATGCTGACTTCTTCATTAGTTTTCAGTAAATGGTGTCATAATGTACTTACTTTTCTGCAACTCATGTTCTTACTTGCAATATATTTTGGAATCTAAACCTGGCAGTACATGTAGATTATCTGTGTAAATATTTGTCTATTGTATGAACCAAGAAGTAGGCTTTTGATCAAGTGCATTTTACTTATGAATATAAATGCAGTCAAGATGCCCTCCAATGAGACTTATGAAGATACATTGCCACCAGTTTTTTTTAGAGTTCTCACTTTCCCCCCACGTTGCTCATACTTGATATTATCAAACATTTTTATTGTCCTTATCTGATATTGAAATAATGTTTTTTGTAATATTTTAATTTGCATATTTCTATTTTTTGTGTGACTGACAAGATTTCCTTATTTCCGTGTTTTTTTTCTTTCTTTCTGAATTATTTGCTCCTACCTTTGTTCATTTTTCTTACTAGGTTTTTATTTTTATTTCTTTTCTTTTGCTTACATACATCTATATATTCTAGCTATTTATCCTCAGACTTCTTTTCATAATGCATTTATTTTCTTCTGGTTTGTAATGTTTACCTTTTGTGCTTTTTGTGCATTCTGATGTAAAACTTATTTATCCATGATTTAAGGATTTTGTTCACATAAAATCTTTAAATGGACTATGTAAATGTGTGTATATACGTATGTGTGTGTGTCTATACATGTGTGTATTTTCTTATTTTCTTAATTTCTATGCATACTAGGGAAGGCTTTTTGTTTTTAATTACACATAAATATAATGATATAAAAATAGTTGGCACCTATAGTCCCAGGTACTTGGAAGGCTGAGGTGGGAGAATTGCTTGAGCCTGGGAGTTGGAGACTAGCCTCAGCATCAAAGGGAGACCTGGTCTCTAAATATATATTTATATATATTAGAATAATTGCTTTTAAATTAATAATTTTAAAAGTAATTTTAATCTATGACCCAGTTATCTCCTTTTTCAGGGAATATCTTAAATTCCTTAAAAACATTATATCCTTAAAGATTTGAATATAGGCCGGGTGCGATGGCTCATGCCTGTAATCTCAGCACTTTGAGAGGTCGAGGCTGGCGGACCTCCTGAGGTCAGGAGTTCTAGACTACCCTGGCCAACATGGCGAAACCCCATATCTACTAAAAATACAAAAATTAGCCAGGTGTGGTGGTGGGCACCTGTAATCTCAACTACTCGGGAGGTTGAGGCAGGAGAATAGCTTGAACTCGGGGGGTGAAAGTTGCTGTGAGCTGAGATCATGCCACTGCACTCCAGCCTGGGCAACAGAACGAGACTCCAACTCAAAAAAAAAAAAAAAAAAAAAAGATTTCGAAGTTTGCATCTAAAATATAAGTGTTATATTTTAATTACATGCCAAATATTTACTACATCACTATTCTATTGTGAATACAATCTATTTTTCTATTTACATTTCTATTTGGTTAATGAAGTAATAAGAATATTTTAGTTTAAATAATTTGTTAGCCGATTATCTTAGAATTTCTATGTAGACATTTGCATCATCTACCCATATTAACATTTTGACATTATAATTGACTTTTTATTTATTTTTTACATTCTTATTGCATTGTCGCATATAGAAATTAAATACTGTTGAAAATGTAATGGGAGAACTTGTAATATCTTACAAACAGACATATGTGTACTGTAGTTTTCTTGTGAATGTGTAATTTATCAAGTTGGAAAAATATTTTACATTTTTATTTTTTAATTGTTATGTGTTTGATGCTTGTTAAAATACAGAACAAGTATTATATACCACGTGTTATTTTGACATCATTGAGATATTCATATTATTTTTCTCCATTACTCAAAATGGCGAATTATATCATATATTTTCTCATGGTGGACTATCTTGACTTACTCAATGAAATCTGATATGAAATAGAGATTTGCAGGAATTAATTTTTTTATTTTTTGAGACGTAGTCTTGCTCTGTTGCCCAGGCTGGAGTGCAATGGCATGATCTCGGCTCACTGCAAGCTCCGCCTCCTGGGTTCACGCCACTCTCCTGCCTCAGCCTCCACAGTAGCTGGGACTACAGGCGTGTGCCACCTCGCCGGGCTAATTTTTTGTATTTTTAGTAGAGACGGGGTTTCACCGTGTTAGCCAGGATGGTCTCGATCTCCTGACGTCGTGATCCGCCCGCCTCGGCCTCCCAAAATGCTGGGATTACAGGCGTGAGCCACCGCGCCCAGCCGAGATTTGCAGGATCTACGTGTTGTTTTTAGTCTTTAGTATTTGGAATGTCAAATTTCTTATGTCAGTGGCTAAGCACATATGTGATAGTGGTGGATATGGATATGCAACTACCCAATCCCAATCCTTTTAACCTGATGCTGGAAGTCTTCAGTCAGTTCCTTTATGAACCACCTCAGCTTCAGAATCAATCACCTCACCCAATAATACAGTTCTTCTAGGGGTGAAGGCTGACCCCTACCCCATGACTGACAGTGGCAGGAGTTAAAAGGCTTGGCCATGTGGGGTCACTATGAAACAATTCAGGCGAGCCATTTAGTTCCAGAGTGTCCCCTGGATATTAGCTGAACCTATTGATAGGTGTTCTTCACAACTGAACCTTTTACTCTGCAAATCCATTTCTTTCCCATTCTTTTTACAGGTGTTGATTCCAAGGGCACTCCCTAAGCAACATTCTACACAGCAATCTCCAACTCAAGGTCTGCTTCTCGGAAAGTTCAACCTGTAAGAGATGGTTTCAGTTGTCTGAGAAAAAGGTGATGAGGTAATATATAGGATCTGGGTCACTCAATATCACATTGAAATTGAGGAGCCCATTACTGGTAGTAACTGGAACATAGATGGTGGTGGGCTACCATTGTTGGGGAATTGGATAGTATACCATGCAAGAAAATACATTAGTTGAGAGATGTGCCAGATACTTGAAAAATATGAGGGATATATTAACTATAAAGATAATAGAATTGCATAGACATGATATACTAAGCTGATGTGAGTCACAAAGATAATGGAAGACAAAAGTAATTAAGAAGCAATTTTATGTCAAGTGTGAAAGTGAAGAACTCTTCTGAGTCCAAGTCGGTTATGATCTCCCACAGTAAGAAGGCAGGCAAATTGAGGACTAGGTTCAAGACTTATTTTCATCTTAAGCTGCAGGTCAACACAATTTGGTTATGCCAAAGACGGCAACCTTTGGGTAAGAGTGGTACTTTCATATGTGAGATAAATATACTAGAGTTGAAGCCCTTTAAACTGAGACAAATATTGAGCCCCAAAATGCTAATATTCCTCGAGAAAATCAATGAAGCACAGTTTGGAGACTTGACTTTATTGTGCTTCAATGGCTTATTCAAACAGGGGTTGACAGCTTTACCAGGTATGGATTTGTTTTTTTTCTGCCTACATGATCCTAGTCAGCATGATTATCTGAGGTTTGCAAAATTCTCATTTATTGGCCTAAGATCCCGCATTACACAGCATAAAGGGACCATTTTTCACAAAAGTAAGGGTTGAAGTAGGCCCCAGACTATGAGACTCATTAACTGTATCCCATATCAACTGCCAAGAAGCTTGCAGTCTAATAGATGGTTGACACAATTTACTGAAAGCACATTTGAGACACTAGCTCAGAAGTGATATTCTGCAATAATGGGAAGCCATCCTCCAGGATTCAGCATACATAGTGAATAAAAAACCCTTTTAAAGTATGATGTTTTCCATAGGAAGAAAATGTATGGTTCCATGAACCACAGGATGAAAGAAGGATCCCTGTTTAAGATCACTCTCCATGGTTCACTTGGAGAATGTGTACTTTCTGTCCTTCAACATTCGTTCTATAGGTTTCGAGGTTGTGGGCCATAAAAGGGGAAAAACTTCCACCAGAAAACAAAAGAGACCCATTGAACTTTATAGCTTTCTGGAAGATGCTGTGGGTTCCTTATGTTCAGGGACAAGTAGGCAATAAGAAAATGTTCTTATATGTAAAAGTGATCCTGATCATCATAAAGAGAAGAAACTACTGTTAAAACATGGTAGCATTGGTAATATAATGAAACATAGATAGTGCACCTTGTAGTCCTTTTGTACTTCCCTGCCCGACTGTGTTGCTAAACAGATTTGTTCAGGAATTCTACTCTGAAAATGACATGATAATCAGTGTCTCCTGTACCTCAAGATTGATGGTTTGATTCAGAGTCTGAAGTGAGACAAAGAAGTTGTTAGCTGAAGCTGAGAAGCATCTGGTTAGATAGCAGAGGAAATAGACAATGTATAGTATCTATTGCAGTGCCAATGTCAGCCGAAACAATGGACGTGTCTTTCTTCCTGCTACCTTTACCCCAGAAAGGGAGGCCCACCTGAACACTGGAGGAGCTACTTCTCCAAAGAATATACAATTGTGTACATTTAGGTTGACCCATGTCCTAGCAATCATAAATAATGCTACAATAAACACAGAAGTATAGATCTCTCTTTGACATGCTGATTTCACATACTTTGAATATATATCCAGCAGTGGGATTGGATTGCTGGATCATATGGAAGTTCTACTTTAGCCTTTCGAGGAACTTTCATACAGTTTTCTATAATAAAGAAAAGGTGGCATATGTAACAATAGAATACTATGCAGTCTTGAAAAAACAGGAAATTCTGTCATTTATGACAATATGGGTAAATCTGGAGAACATTACACTAAGTGAAATAAACCCGGCACAGAAAGACAAATACCATAGCATTACACTAATATGGGAAATTTAAAACCATCGAGCTCGTAGCAGCAGAGAGTGGAATGGTGGTTGCCAGAGGCTGGGCAGTGCGGAAAATGAGAAGATATTGGTCAGATGGTACAAAGTTTTAGTTAGAGAGAAATAATATATTTTTTGAGATCTGCACAGTATTGATACTATAAATAATTATGTATTTTGTATTTCAACATTGCTAAGTTTCAAATGTTCTCTCCACAAAAAATAATAAACATTTGAAGTAATAGTGTATTAGTCCATTCTCATGCTGCTAATAAAGACGTACTTGAGACTGGTTAGTTTATAAAGGAGAGAGGTTTAATTGACTCACAGTTCAGCAGGGTGGGGAGATCTCAGGAAACTTACAATCGTGGTAGAAGGGAAGGCAAACATGTCCTTCTTCTCATGGCAGCAGCAAGGAGAAGTGCCAAGCAAAAGGGGAATAGCCCCTTATGAAACCGTCAGATCTCGTGACAACTCACTCCCTATCACAAGAACAGAAACATTGGAATAACTGCCCCTACGATTAAACTACCTCCTACCAGGGGTCTCCCATGACAGGTGAGGCTTATAGGAACTACAAATTCAAGATGAGATTTGGGTGGGGGCACAGCCAAACCATATCAGATAGATATATTAATCAGCTAGATTTAATCATTTTACATTGTATACATATATCATAACCAGTTTTACTTCATAAAATATATAATTATGATTTGTCAATTAATAATTTTTAAAGTACATATAAAAATGGGTTCAGTGGTCACAAAAGAAGGACTATGTAATGGGCATGAAGATGTGCCACCCACTGTTCTTTCAAAGAGAAGTGTGTTGCTCAGATTCCGGGAGTGATGTTAGCAAATAGCCTTCAGCCGTCAAGCCCTCAGGGATTATCTGAATTTCAGAGTCACTCACCCAAGATCACACCCCTCTCAAGCAGCTCACATGCAATAAGTAATAGAGGGAAGCATATAAAGGCCAGGACGTTTTAGACCACTACAGCAGTGGTCCCAACCTTTTTGTAACCAGGGAGACAATTTTGTGGAAGACAGTTTTTCCGTGGACTAGGGGCACGGGGGTGGAGCAAATGGTTTCAGGATGATTCAAGCACATTAAATTTATTGTGCACTTTATTTCTATGATTATTGCATTGTAATAGAACCTCATCAATTTACCTGAATTTGTGTTCAGGTGTATATTACAGCTCATTATCTCTCTTTCTGTCTCTCAAAACCCTGTTTTTCCCACCTTCTTCCATAGGTAGTCCTCTCAATTCATTCTCTAATCGACTTCACAAACTCTATCCCAGAATCTACTTCCTGGGGAAATCAGTCTGAAAAAAATGATAATGATCTATAATTTGTTTTCTTTTTTATCTCTAGTTTTCATGTTTACTAATTTTATTGCAGAAAAATTGAAACCTGTAAAATCAACTAAAAAATGTAAAGAAACCTTATGTGTTTACTATTCAGTGTCAAAATTTTCAGTATCTCGAAACCCTTTTAAATATAAACTTCTACCCTACTTCTCTAATTTTGTTATTATAGGTACTCTATCCTTATAGAATATTTGGGTAACCTTCCTTTCTTTTTCAAAACATTTGTGTAATATAATGCTGTGGATTAAATTGTGTCCCCTTCTAAATTATATATTGAAGCCCTGACTACTAACGTGACTGTTGTAGGGCCTATATGGAGGTAATTAAGGTTCAATGAGGCCAAAAGGATGGGACCCTCATTCAATAAAATTAATGTTCTTATAAGAAGAGACACAAGAGAGCTCACTTTCTTTTTCTCTATGTAAGCAAACACTGAGAAAAAGAGAGCCCTCACCAGAAATTGGCCATGTTGACACTCTGATCTCAGAATTCCAGGCTCCAGAACTTTAATAAAATAAATTTCTGTTACTTAGACTACCTAGTCTGTGATATTATGTTGGGTAACCCAAGTTAATTCATAGAGATTTTGGTACTGAGAAGTGGGGTGCCACTGTAATAAACACCTCAAAACATGGCAGACTCCTCAGAACTGGAAAATGGCCAGAGGCTAGAGGAGTTTTGAGGTGCATAGTAGAAGCTTTGATTGCACTGAAGAGGTTTTTGCTAGAAATGTAGATATTAAAGGCAATTCTAATGAGGATCCAGGAAAAAAAATAAAGGAGAACCATAGAAAAATCCTCCATCTTCTTAAACAAACATAAATACTAATGAATACTAGGCTTAATACCTAGGTGATAAAATAATCCCTACCACAAACCCCCATGACACACATTGGCCTATGTAATAAACATGCACATCCTGCACATGTACCCTGAACTTAAAAGTTGAAAAATACCAAGACTCATGAATAGAATGTTGGTAAAAATGTAGACATTAAAGGCCTTTCTGGTGAGGTCGTGGATAAGAATGAGGATGAGGTCATTGGGAAATTGGGAAACGGCAATCCCTATTAGAAAGAGGCGAAGAATTTGGCTGAATTGTGTTCTAGTGTTTTGCGGAAGATAAAACTTATGAACCATGAATTCAGTTATTTACCTGAGGAGATTTCTAAAGAAAATGTTGAAGACAAAGCCTGAATCCTCCTTACTGCTTATATTAAAATGTGAAAGGATAGAAATGAATTGAAAAAGAAACTGTTAAGCAAAAATAACCACGCTTAAAGATTTAAAAAATGTTCAGCCCGTTCATATTGTAAAAAGTGAAAGTTTGTTTTTAAGGGAATACAAAGGATGTGGCTAAACAACCATTTGATAAAAAGATTATTTTATTTTAAGCCATAAATTTAAATAGCAGCCTCATCAGAAGATAGGAATGGAATTAGTATATCAGCAGAAAGACTGTCATTTTAGACCAAGGCAGCAGCAATACCTAGTTTGGACTATAGGTAACAGGGAAGGATGAAAGAGGTATTCATCTGTAAAAATGCTTTATCTTTCTAGAAAGGGAAGAGTGACTCAAGAAGGGATTGATCAGAGATCATCAGGGCTGCCACTCACACCAGAGCCCAGAAGCAAGGCTACCCCCTCCTCTATTTTGGAAGACCAAGAGGACCTCACAGAGAGCTTTGTGGGTAGGGCCAACCTGCAGACACATGGGGGTGCTGAGGTCACCTCATTGGGCTTAAAAGGCAGAACACTGAATCAAAGAGGGTTATTCTCAAGCCTAGAGAGCTAATGGAATTTGCCTTGTTGGGTTTCAGAGTTGTTTTGATCCATCACTTCCTTCCTTTAAATTTCTATCTTTTGGAATGGGAATGCCTATCTTATGCCTTCCCACACTGTATTTTGGAAGCATATAACTTGTCTGTTTTCACAGGTTCACAGCTGGAGAGAAATTTTTGCCTCAGGATGAATCTGCATCTTGAGTCTCACTCATATCTGATTTAGATGGTATTTAGATGAGACATTGGACTTTAAACTTTAGAGTTGATGCTGAAACAATTTAAGGCTTTGGAGCTGTTGGGACAGAATGAATGAATTTTGAATACAAGAAGTAAATTAATATTGAAGGCCCATGGTGGGAATGCTATCGACTGAATTGGGTCATCCCCCCTACCCCAAAGTTGTATGGTGAATCCCTAATCTAATATGACTATATTTGGACATATGCTCTATAAGGACGTAATAAGGTTAAGTGAAGTAATAGGACTGAGGCCCTGATCCAATAGGATCGGTGTCCTTTCAAGAAGAGACACCAGAAAGCTGACTCTCTCTCTCTGCATGCATGAGCAAGGGAAAGAGGCTGTGAAAACACAGTAAAAAGGCCACCATCTACAAGCCAGGAAAAGATCCGTCACCAGAAACTAACCATGTTGAAATCCTCACCTCAGTATTCCAGGCTCCAGACCTGTGAAAAATGCATTTCTGTTGTTTAAACCACCATCTGTAGTATTGTATGGTAGTCCAAGTTGACTAATACAGATTTTAGTACCAAGAAGTTGTGTGACAAAGAACTGAGTAACCAAATACTGCTGTGACAGATACCTAAAAATGTGGAAGAGGCTTCGGAACTGGCTAATGGGTAACAGTAGCCCGAGCTGATTAACACAGATGAGAAATATCCTTCAAACCTTAGAGAATCTTCCCATAATTCTGGTGATAGGTACCTTTTGGGAAGCTAGGATATTTACTCCTATTTCAATTTTGCAATTTGTAGGTATTATTCTACTTACTCAGTTTGAAATAAATACATTAAAAATCAAAGTGGAAATCGCACAAATTTTTGTTATTTTTCAAACACCTTTAGCAGCATTATTTTGCTTCATACTTTTTTCTGTGCTATTATTATCATTGCTAATATTCTTGATTTGCATATTTTTGCCCTTTCTCTTTTTTCTCTCATCTTCTTTTATTTTTGCATGCATGTGTGTGTGTGTGTGTGTGTGTGTATGTGTATGTGTGTGTGTGTGTGTGTGTGTGTGTGTGACGGAGTCTTGCTCTGTCACCCAGGCCTGGAGTGCACTGACACGATCCCAGCTCACTGCAAACTCCAACTCCCGGGTTCAAGTGATTCTCCTGCCTCAGCCTCCCAAGTAGAGGGGATTACAGACATGCACCACCATGCCCGGCTAATTTTTGTATTTTTAGTAGAGACAGGGTTTCACCATGTTGGCTGGGCTGGTCTCAAACTCCCCACCTGAGGTGATCCACCTGCCTTGACCTCCCAAAGTGCTGGGATTACAGGCCTGAGCCACAGCACCTGGCCAGGCTTGCCAAATCTTAAGTTATTCATTAATATTTTCAAAGAACTACAATTCATTGCATTAATCAACAATTCTAGTGTTCTTTTCTTGTTTGCTTTTTAATTGCATTGATTTCTGTTTTTAATATTAATTCATTTCTTCCTGCTATTGATTTTAAATAGGTCTTTAATCTTTTTCTATTTACACCTAAAGCTTATTTTATTAATACAATTCATTTTGCTTTTTAATTCATATATTTGGATGTATGCTTTCTTTGTAAGTATGATTTTGGCTTTTTTCCCTTTGGATTGTGACAGGTAGAAGCTTATATTTTCATCCTAAATAGATTCTACTTTGATTTCTTTTTTAAGATAATTTCTTGGCAGAATTTTCAGATACACAAATTTTTTTAAAATAACTTTTTTCTTGATATCTTATGTCATTATGCTTTGATCAGTTACTGCAAACTACATGGGAATACTTGTTTAATTTTTTTAAAGATTTATTGTCAGCTTTGTGCATAATCAAACAACATGAATATTCTTGATGTGTCTGTAAGTTAGTATTCCATAGCCTGTCTAGTGTCAAAATACTCATATACTAGTTCAAGTTCATTAAATAAAATTTTCAAATACCCTGTGTTCTTAATTCTTTTTCCTGTTACTTTTAGAAGGGGATTGTTAAGGAATGTTACAACAATTACGGATTTAGCACATCAAAAACATTAAAACTGAGTCTTTGTTTATTAGTCCTTTGGCCCTACTGCTAGCTGTGACTCCTTGTGGATACCAGACTCTAGATCGGAGTCTGCTTTAGATAGCTGTTTAATTAATAAATTTTGGAAGTACAGAAGCCCCACGGTTTGTTCTTATAGTGAGTTATTGCAATGTAAGAGCATAACTAGGAAAAGAAATCATATTGCAAATTATATCCATGGGGAAAAGATATAGTGACCTCCAGGAAATATCCAGAGGTGTGAGGCAGGGACCAATGGTGAAGTTAGCAAGAGGGGATTCAAAGGGGGGAAATAACTCAATCAAGAAATAATTAAGTGAACGTAACAGATGGAGCCAGCTCAAGGGATAAATCTTTTCAAAATGAACAATATATCAAGAAGTGGTTAGTAGAAGTAATTCTGAGGGAATGGTTAGAGGATAGAGTAGAGGTTGGATAAAAGATGAGGGCACAAAGGTGGCATGAAGAATTCTTTCATTGCATTTGTTAGCATTAGAGTTCACATTTACATGTGTTTTTTCCATAGGTACATTACTAGCGCTTCGCAAATTTTAATTTGAACATGAATCACCTGGGGACCATATTAAAAAGTAGATTCTGATTCAGTAGGTATGGATTGGGGTCTGAGATTCTACATTGCTAAAACTCTCCTGGGGGCACCTGCACTGTTCCTCTGTGAGGACCCTGTGAGCAAATTAAATGCCAGGACATTTAATTTATTCCCATAACTGAGAAGCACTTAACAGAGATGTGCACATTCAGGAAGTGGTAGATAAGAGCAACATGTACCCCGAGGACATCTGGGGACTGAAAGATTAGTTTGCAGATCCTGGATTTTGACTTTTTGGACCTTGGGGAAGAAAAGATGCTGAAAGGCATGCTGACAGGGCATGGATTTCTTGGAGAATTGTGCTGTTTCTCAAGTTAAGGAGAAACTGGAATCAGAGGCAACTCTCCATTCCACCCACGGAACATGTGTTCCTCTCAATGACGGGAGACTCAAGCTCTGTGTTCCTTAGTTCTAGTGTTAAAAATCTCATGGTCTAAAATATCTTTGCAGGGTTGATTGGAATATGCTACAATTTACAGAAAGAACAATATGATAGTGCTCATTTATGAATTGAGTAATACCAGCCACTAGTATTACTAAAGGAATACCAGGAATTCAAAGGAATTACTAAAATAACAAACAGTCATTAAAAATTTTTTTCCGGCCAGGTGCAGTGGCTCACACCTGTAATCTCAGCACTTTGGGAGGCCGAGGAGGGTAGATCACGAGGTCAGGAGTTCGAGACCAGCCTGGCCAACATGGTGAAACCCCGTCTCTACTAAAAATACAAAAATCAGCCAGGCGTGGTGGCGTGCGCCTGTAATCCCAGCTACTTGGGAGGCTGAGGCAGGAGAATTGCTTTAGCCCAGGAGGCGGAGGCTGTAGTGAGCTGAGATTGTGCCACTGCACTCCAGCCTGGGTGACAGAGCAAGACTCTGTCTCAAAAAAAAGAAAAAATTCCACTGAGTACTATCTTTACAGTCATAATATGCTACATCAAGCTCAATTTCCTTAACAGAGAATTGGAAGGACAGGTTTATGAATAAATAAATGATACAATATAAAATAGCTTCCACAGCTATCTGAAATGCTTCCCAATGGTACTGACTTCTAAAAGCCACATATGCTTTACTCTACAGCAACCATAGATACTTTAACACTAAAATAGTGAAACACATTATTGAGCACCTCAACGTGCTGAGGGATCGCCTAGAGATATGCATCCTGAAATCTATTGTCTTTCTATTTCAGTATGACATTGGCAAAAAATAACCATGCTTCAAGTATCTAGACTTCACTTTCCCAAACTGGACATTTATGAAATAGCCCCAGTATGCCATCTCTCTAAATTGTATAATTCACATAATAAATAATATCATCTGTTCTCTACCAGCCATCATTAAAAGTTCCTGCCAAATATGTTTAATCCTGTGTGTCGGAGAGAAAGTTAATGGAGATACAAGATGGAAAGTCATCTTTGATGAGCCATTTTCTTTCTCAAAATTGTTCAAGTTTACCCATGGATAACTTTTGTTTTTTCTACCCCTATCTTGTTCATAGTATATGGCCTTTCTAAAAATTGTCATTTTAAGTCAATCTTTCATAACATTAATATTGAAAATTTTATTTATTACATACAATTGCCTTCTATTAAAAGCAAAAAAAATTCATCTGCATTGATTGTTATCTGGTTCTAAGCAACTGCAATTTTATTCTGTAATTTCAGTACAGTAGTCAGCCAGGGTGGGAACTGAATTTCAATTCTTTGACTTATTAGTAATACAATATGCAAGCTCTTCAATTATTCCATACCTCAGTTTCCTTATCAGTATAATGGAAATAATAAGATTTGCCTAATAGAGTTTTTGTGAAGGCAAAATAAAGTGGAAAGATTTTAGCATAGATTAGACATCTTATCAACATAATGTCTATTGTCTTTGTTTCTTCTGTTTTTCTGAGGCAGTATAGAAGATTTTACATATATGTAGTCAGAGAACTTGAGTTGGTTAAGCAATCCAAAGTCAGGAATCTAGGGACTTCATAATATATTTC
The DNA here is from genome assembly GCF_000001405.40 of Homo sapiens. Lineage (NCBI taxonomy): Eukaryota > Metazoa > Chordata > Mammalia > Primates > Hominidae > Homo > Homo sapiens. The sequence continues at coordinate 22,889,397 of NC_000005.10, forward strand.
TAAATATCAACTACAAATATGTGTTTAATAAGAAGCCGCTACTGGATGAATCCAATTCATTATATTTCTGACCAAAAAAAAGTCAAATCATTCTGTCACTTACATAACTCACCTAAGCACTTGGTTCTAAGTCAGTATCGAAGATTAAACTTTTTAAATTGTAAGGTTTTATGAATACAATGATGACTTCCATACTTGTCACATCAAGGTATGTGTGTAAGTGTAGATAAGTTTACAGACTATTTCCTATAGAAATTTAATAGGATAAATATATGCATGGAAATTGACCAATGGGCAAGTGCTAGTTTATCTGTCATCTTTATTCAGTTAAAAGTTGAAATTATTTTTCTTGTTACAATGAAACAAAATTCAAATGTACTAAAAAACAAAATGTGCATTACACGTAAATACTGGGTTTACACAACGCATTTTCTGGAGATTAGTTAATGCATGAAGGATACCAAGGCACAATTTACAAATGTACATTTATTAGGAGACATCTAGAAAATGATCACAAGAGGGCACTCTTAATTAGAACTGAATCCAATGAGGACATCTTAGAGAAAGATTTCACCACTCCAATAGAAATGAGATAAGGATCAGTTATTGACAATTCCAAATTATTTTATGAAACACAATCATCTATAACTAGTAGGTCACCATTAATATGCTCATTGAAAATAAAACTCAATTTCCTCTTTGTCAAGGCCCTCCTTAACAGGATCTCCAACACAAATCCTTCAGACTCTGATGTTTTGTTCTCCTACTCTTACTGTTAGTCTCTCCAGAGTAGTCTGCCTTATCACTGTCATTATTTTTCCACCTCCACATTTCACACAACTGAAGCCACAGTTCCTATCAAGGTATTGCTTGTAAACTCAATTTTCTAAAATATTTTCAGAAGAATAAAAAAAAAAAAGTGACTCATTTTGCATCAGAAAAGCTTTGCACCTTAGAACCTCACCGTTTTTACCTCTAGTGAGGTGGCTTAGAATGAGCAATTTGAAGAGTAGTGATTTCTCTATGCTAAAACAATATAAACTGAAAGTATCACATCAAGTGTCTTAGATCATTTGAATTGAGATATATGCAGATAAAGTCAAGATGATAGAGGCAGAGAGGCCCACAAAACATGGTAATTAGTCAAGTTCTTAAGGCAGTAAGTAATAATTAAATAACAGGTGAAATAATAAATTATGCTATAAAGTGAATCAGATGAGAAGAGGCCTGTTAATAATGTGAAGGGTAGATCAGAGCGCAGCTGAATCACCAAAACAATGAAGCACTAGATTTGGAAACAACCAAACAGGCTATTGGAATGAACTAGACTGTATTCAGAAAACAATAAGACGTAACTGCCATAAATGCTGTGCCCAAGAAGGTCTAAGGCTACCAGAAAAACTCTCTGAGGAAGGCAGGACGTTATTGTTTCCTGTAGGATTCTATGACTCCATACTCGCCTAAGTTTTCTTCCTACTTTATAGATCATTTTTTCTTAATTTAATTTGCTGGTATATTCTAGCATATCTAGTATATCTAGTTTTCTAGTATCTTTCTGCTCTATCAGACTCCACAAAATAAGGTTTTCAGGACTTAAATTAAGGGCTAGATTCTCTCTTCAGGCTAGACTCCATTCCCTGGAGATCCCATTCACTTGAATTATTTTCAGTGTCATGGATGTCATGATGAAACCGCTTTACATCCCTGGGGTTGATCTTTTCTCTGAGCATGAGATGTGTACATCTGACTGCTTTCTTGGCATCTGTACTTGGAAGTACCATGGGAATGTCCAAATTAACATGTGGCAAGAAAAATTTTTTATTCCTGAATCAATCTCTTTTTTTCCTCCTCCCAAAACCCAGCGTCCTATGTGCTAATGCTATGAGAGGAGAGCATTTGCTTCCCTCTATTCCCTGTATTCCGCATAGCCAATTAATCCCAAAGTTCATGGTTTATATCATAAACTTCCCTCAAATTAGTCCACTTGTCTTCATCTCTACTCCAGCCCCCTTGAGCCGATGCCCTAATCTAAATAGCACCTTAATTTTTATACTCTTTCTTTTACTCCATCTCATCAACAAATAGTTGTTGGAGTCATACTTGGTGAATATGCACCTCATTATGTCAGTCTGCATGATGAATAATATTTCAGTGGCTTCCTTTTGCATTTAAAACAAAACTAAATGATCATGGCCTATATGATCCTGCATGATGTTTTCCTCAGCACACAATTCTAACCTCATTTTGTTCTACATAGAATGTTCTCAAATACTTGAAGCTTATACAATTTTACACTTATACTCTGCAGAGCATTTGCGCAAGATGTTCCTCAACCTGTAGAATTATTGTACCAGAATTTCATGTGTCTGGCTTATTTTCATCCTTTGATGCCCAGTTCAAACAGTTCTTCAGAGATGCAGTATACATAAAGTTCATCCACTGCATCTGAAGTACTTTCAATTAACCATAATAACAAAATCCTATTTATTGCCTTCAAAGCACTTACCTAAATTTTAATTTAGTAATTTGTTTAATTGCTTCTTTTCTACTCACCCAGGCTCCTTTAGACTCTGAACTACAGGGAACTGTGTCTTATTTATCACGATTTAGCCAAAACTCAAAAGAGTACTGAGAACATAGCATTGCGAATATAGTCCCTATACAATAATATCAAAAGGCAGTAGATAGTCAATAAAGTTGCTGAGATCATGGATTTGGGAATCTGGAAAGTCTTATTTGATAATCTCAACATTTTAACTCTCTAGAATGTCTTCTCTTGAAATTATCTCTGAGAGAAATTTCCTCTGAACGTGTTTATTTAAAAAAAGAACCATGCTATGTGAAATTATGGACATACTGTTCAATGATTTCCTTCCTCATAATATTGATCTAACAATACTACCCACCTGATTGGCTTAGTGGAAGAATAAAATGAAATTGTTTTAAGAGTTCACTACAATAGGAACTGCACAAATTAAGCACTGAATGAGTATTTTTCTTGATGCTGATGACAACAGTTGTAAGATTAACATGACCTGTCCTGGTGACTTTCCTCAGAATAAGTTGTGGGTATCAGAGTCAGCTTCATGGATGTGCTACTTGTTAGTCGAACCAACCTCTCACCTACTAGGGTCATTCTTAGTGTAATGCTCTGCTGTTGCAATCTTGAAAATCTTAATAATTTTAAGCAACAGACATGGCATTTTCATTTTGCATTGTGCTCCACAAATTACGTAGCCAGTCCTAGTTGGCATAACATCAAGTTCTGCTTCAAAAACATTCTTTCTATTTGCTAAAGCAATGTGGGACAGGCATGTCACAACAAGACGATGTTCATCATATAAATAATTATTGTTTTTCTTTCCTTTGGTAGCTGTGAAGCTTATATCTAAATTTATCGCTTAGTTTGTACAGTTTTGCAGGAGGCCTTGGTAATACATTTGTGTGCACTAACTTCACCAAAAGAGTTCTTTTACTCTTCTGTATTATTTTCTGATTTATTTGATACTTTTCCTATTTTATGTCTTCATAAAATTTGTAGTGCCTCCTGGAATCAAACTGTTGATTAAAAAAGTGTTTTTTTTTAAATTCTCACTTTTTCATTTTAAGTTTTTCTTTATATATGTGTATACATGTATAATATATATGTGTATATGTATGTATGTATATTTCACACTTCCCCTGAGCTTGAGTTGAATATACGTCTGTGCTGTAATGCTGATAAGCCCTCCTCAACAGTACATGGCTTGAATAAGAGAAAATAAGGAATAAATTAGCTGTTAATCAGACCACCAATTTTACCACAATCAATAGACATGAAAGAAAGAACCTCAGGGTTTTTGTTAGCTAATTGGTTGGTTTTCCCTAGCAAAGAAATGCAATTTTTTTCACCTGAGTGACTAAGGGCACAGGGGAACAGCCTTGTCTAGAGTTCCCGGGAGAGTCATCCAGATCGCCAGAGAAGCCTAAGAATCTTAATCTATTATTACCATAAGGTACCATTATTATGTAACTAATCACTATTTGATTTACCATTCTTAAAGACATTATCATCAACCTAGTACTTATTAAAATGGGAATTAGGAAATTTTTTTCATAAAGAGATAGATAGTAAATAATTATGAGACATCCTCCCTTTCTTGCAACTACTCAACTCTGTTGTGGTAGCCCAAAAGCAACCCTGAACAATATGTAAATGAAAGGGAATGCCTGTGTTCCAATAAAACTTTATTTACAAATACAGATGACTGAGAGTGAGTTATGGCTTGCGCGGAAGGACTTTTTAAATTAATTGGTCTCTGTATTACAGTGTTTACATCAGTATACAAGGCAAGGGTATAAAATAATAAATATTTTAAAGGCAGCCAAAACTTAAAAATCATCAGTGTTCTTAACACTAGCCATTTGGGTAGGAAAGAGCATATATGTATATTCTCTCAATAGCCATAACTATGAACATATTTGAGACTGATAATCTGAAACTGACCACTCAAGAGAATTCATTTCACTACCTTATAGTAAAGCTACATGTGGTTCAGAAAACACTATTACCCTGCTTAATGGCACATTTCTTTATCCAAAATTGACTAGTATGAATTTGTCCAATTTGAAAAATCAACTCTTCCATGAAGGTGAAAGACTGATTACGATTGAATCTCCAAAGATATGTTTTAATTTAAAATCAATTCAATGTAATTTAGAGTCAAATCTTGTTTATTCCTCATTTGCATCTATTCAAATGAAAACAATGAGAATACATTTATAGCTATTTTTGTGGCAAAGGTGAGAAAAAAAGTTATATCCATATGGATAATGTAAGGTTAATATGTGAAGAGTCAGGAAGAGTTACCATAATTGCACAGGTCATGAGAAGTAAAGGCAAGAAATGTAGAATATGGGCAATTTCACCACTGTTTTTCCAAGAAGAAAGTTTATGGTAAGTTGGCTGTAACTTCGGGTCCGAGCTGGCAAATAAAAAAATTGAAAATCCTCTAAAAATATCTTAAAGGACAGAAATGACAGAGGACTATGTTTGGAGTAGAACAAGGATGATTGGCAATGAAGCATGTAAGGAGGAGTTGGTTGGGTTGTGTCAAAATCAAACTTTTGTAAATGTCTTTATTTAATGAGAAAACATCTTACTTATGATATACCTATTTCCTAAAAATATTTTCTGAGTTATTTGAGTTTCAATTATTCAGAGGCAAGGCCCAATTCTTGGCAAGCCTTGCCAAGAATTTGAAAATCTGAAAATTAAGAATTAAGAATTAATCTTTGCCAAAGAAAACCAGTAAATTGGTATTCTTTGAGTCTTCCAGGCTTGTAAGATATTTTAGTTAGTGGTCTTTATTCAAGAAGTGTTTCAATGCATATCATTGCTTTCAAAAGATGTGTGTGTGTGTGTGTGTGTGTGTGTGTGTGTGTGTGTGTGTGTATGTGATTTGGGATAAAGAGGAAAGTAAAAACGAAATTTTAAAGATAATGAGTAAAATAAATTGTGTTTTAGATTCTAATAGTGTAATCCTAGAGATTATATTTGTCACTTCAACGTTGTTTTATGGATATTCTATCAGTGACTTCCAGACTGACAAAATCTTCTTTCAGAGCCTGAAACTCACACAAGATACTTAATGTAAATTACACATATATTTGAAAATATGTCTTTATTGTCTCTATGAAAAAGCACACCTGGTAAGTTTCTTTGATGGAGAAGTTAATGCTTAAAAGCAAAGCTCTGGCCAGGCGTAGTGGCTCATGCCTGTAATCTCAGCACTTTGGGAGGCCGAGGCTGGCAGGTCACCTGAGGTCAGGAGTTTGAGACCATCCTGGCCAACATGGCGAAATCCCATCTCTACTAAAAATACAAAAATTAGCCAGATGAGGTGGTGGGCACCTGTAATCCCAGCTACTCAGGAGGCTGAGAAAAGAGAATAGCTTGAACCTAGGAGGCGGAGGTTGCAGTAAGCCAAGATCGCGCCATTGCACTCCAGCCTGGGGGACAGAGCAAGACTCCGTCTCAAAAAAAAAAAAAAAAAAAAGCAAAACTCCAAATACTGTTCCTCATTCATGAGTTCCCAAAATAAGTCTCACACATTTTTTTGCCACCTGTGCTCCAAGTCAGTTGATTTTTACTCAGCCAGCAAATGTCTATAATGCTTTGTAACTTCTCTCCCAGTCTTACTCTCCCTTAGTGAGATCTCTACTCAAAGATATTTCACTCACAATAACATGTGAATTTCTGCGTGGATTCCAAACACTATTTTTACAATGTGGCTGAAATGCGAGGTCCCAGTGGACCCCAGGATCATAACCCCACATCTATGACTAAGTGATTAGGTCTTAAACTCAGCAGACTATAGCTGAAGGCTGTTGTCTGTTTTACTCATAAATATCAGTGCTTTACTCTGACCTCATGCTTTTTGAATATTTTCAGATTTCTCCTATATATTTTGAGAATCCTGCATTAATATTTATAAACTGTTACATAGAAGAGTGTATAGAAGGGAAGGAGTTAGACAAATATTTTATATCATTAAAAATTTATGGTAAGAGGGAGTCACTTTGAACCATTATTCAATTAAATAGGATATGTATTTCTCCTTGTTTCAAACAGGGATCAGTCAAACATCTTGAATTTTGACTCACCTGATGTTTATTTCTTTGATGCGTTCCTGACAAATTCTATATTCTAAGATCGAGCAAGGCGGTTTTGCTTGCTAATTAACAAAATGATAAAATAAAATTGTGTGTGTGTGCGTGTATTTCCACAAAGTGATCTAGGAGAGGAAGTAGCAGCTTATTTCCTGACGAGGCAAGCATTAATGTTTGTCGCTTAAATCTGACCTTCCCTATTTGTGATTGAGGGTTTAAATAATTTTTGTAAGATAGGACAGCAATATCATCTTACTACGTTAAAGACACCTATTAGTCATGTGCCAGGCAAATTGGGATTTATGACTCAGATATAATTCTTCCAAATATGCCTGCTGTTCATAAAAAGGCAGAGATACATGACTCAAAAATAACACAAGTCAGAAATAATTTTGCACTTCACTTTTCCACATTGACTTTTCTCTGGAATAGATGGCAAAATCTCCACGTTTTATGAATAGGCTTTTGTCAATACTACAGATGTATGTTTCCAGCTTCTAAATAAAGCAAGTTTCTGAGTCAAATAAAACAAATGATCAGTTCCAGTAGAGGCAAGGGAAGATGTATACATAAGAACTATGCATTGAAGACTGATGGAGACCCATAAATGCTTAAAAGTTCCAATGTGGATGTTGACTGTGCCTTAAGGAGAAGGTTAAGAATGTCACATATCACTTGCAATGATTAAGTTTCTCTGTTCATGAGACAGTGTCTCATCACATATGAAGAACTGTGGAAGAACAACATACCATTTTTTGAGGGGGAGGTGGAGAAGACATGGACAGATTGAAGCACAGATAAAACATGTATTTTTCCCAAATCTGTACAAATACTGCTAAGAGCATGGCAAAGCTCCATGCTTTGTGAATATTGCTTGAGGTAACAGAAGTAAAAACACCATATTTCATTAAGGATGACAGCAATAGTATTCTCTTTTCTCTGTGGACCATCAAGTCTTTCAACTTAAATATTTTGGAATCTTATCAGACATCAAAGATATAAAATAATATAGTGCCTCCAAGATACATCTTTGTCCTTGAAGAATGATCAAAGTTCCAAGTATGTTCATAAATTAAAACCAAATGTATTTCCCAAAAATTTTAAAATGGGACTCTCTCAGTCCCATTTTAAAAAATCATGCATAAAAATTGGAAACATCATTATTTCTCCCACTGAAACATAAGCATTATGTTTGGTGAATGTTAAAATATGAATCTTAAAAGGACAAGATTTAGTCATAATTAAGTGATTTGCACAATACCCTATGTCAGGAATTGTCCAAGGGCATGATCATGTTAGAAATAAAAATAATATGCTCTTATGAGGTTGTCCAAAATGATCACCAATTTCTACTTAGTATTGTTGATATTACACTCTCACAACGTTTCTGAATGAAAGAGATTCTTATTCCAAGAGCAATAGGAAAGAGTCAAAGTTTTTTAAAAAGAGTGGTATTTGTTTTCTAAACACTTTTCTGTCCTCAGTGATGATAGCTAACGTCATACAATTGTATTTTATTATTAATTTCCCTGATAAGTTTTTCCAGTTTAAAAATTGGGTCTGATGGACACTCAGGCATAGGAGGAGAGGAGGCTTTGTCTCTGTGAGAGGTGAGCTGCCAAAACACAGATTCAGTTCCATGTGACTCTTGGTGCAATTTCCCTCTGCCAGTGTCAAAGTGTGAGTTGCAATTTAATTTGATTGTAATATTGAATATTCCACACTAGATATATGTCTGTCACCTGAGAATTATTCTGCTACCCTTCTTGCTTACAATTCCTTTATTTTGGCTGGGCTGAGTGTGTGCCCAAGCCACATATGATAAATAGTATATCATGTTTTTTTCTATATTAATAACAGCAGTCCTATTACTTGTCATGTCATTAATGTATCTAACTCCTTTGCAGCTTGATGGGGAGGATGATCCAGAAATGGCCAAGGAAATATCAGAAGAATTTTGCTCTGTGGATTTTAGAATAGACTATAACAACAACAACAACAAAAACAACAAAAAACTTTTCCAGTGAAAAGAGACAGATGATAGTTGGTGGCATTCCTTCCCCTTTTCTTCCCCTTTTCTCTTGAATCTGAACATGAATCTGAACTTGAAGCTGCAAGGCCCATGTTTTGACCAAGAGGTCACATGAATTAAATCAAGACACAACATGGGACAGCGAGCAGCCAGAAAAAGTATTTGTATCCTGAGGACACTGTTAGCAGCTACACTGTTGATAGCAACTATGATATCTGGATTTCTTTTCAAATAACCAAAATAACCACCTACTCATTTACTTCCACTGAATAAATTTTCAGTAGCTTGCTGTCCCAGGAATTTCCATTTTGTATACTCTTTAGTTAAAGGCTAAAACAAAAGGAGCTTTATATAACAATAGTTATCTGAGAATTAAAAACAGTGGAGAATTAGGTGTCACTTATTTTTATGTAAATAGAGAGTAACTAATGTTTAGCTAGTCTTTGCCTCTGTCAAAATATTAAATCATGTTATGCAACATCACAACTCCTATTTATAAAAATAAGTTGTATTGTTAGTGCCTCAAGAATATGCTTCTTATAGTAAATACAAATGAAATAGGACTGGTTATGCACAGTGGATAACTTTAAGCCCTTTCTATATAAAATTAACTGTATTAAGGGTTAATTTTACATTCATTATATTAATTTTGTGTTTACTAATTAATTTATATTCTTTAAAAACAGAATGATATGTATGTTATATTCACAAATTATTGAGTGTAACACAGAAGCATACAGAGAATTCAAATTCACTAAGGAAGGCTCCAGAATCCTGCAACATTTTCTTTAGTTTGTATTAGAGCAGGATGTAAGGTTTGTTGACCTGTTACCTCTGTATTGACTATTATGATTGTGTGTCTACATTAGAAGATTCATGACTAAATTATTAATGAATTGGATATAGGTGGTAGATACAAGTTTTATATTGGAATACCTTTTCTCCATCCCAAGAAGACATAATTGATTTCTAAATCATTCTTAATTTCCATCTCTAGGATTCTTTTTCTTAAGAAACAAACACTAAGGATAGAGAAATGAATAGAGAATGGAAGGCAATTGAGAACACATAACCAACATATAACCAATATTAAAGTATCACCAGGGAATTTCTAGGAGACTGAAGATATTAAGAAGAGCAAGTGTTAACTTCATCCTCTTCATTTTCTACAGGATCATAGGGTATAAAAAAGGAGATAGGCAGAGGACTCTCCTGTGAAGTCTAGTGGGCAAAGAGTCCACGCTTAATTTGTATTTTGACACTTAGCCCTGGTTATCTTTTTCCAGTGCTTATTCACAGAGCATTATAATAAAGTAATAAAGAGAGATCACTCTGGGAGACGAAAATACCGATGCTATTTTTCGAGCTTATTATCGCTAACAGGCAATCTTGATAATGTTTCCTGGATGAATTTTCACCTCTACCTTCTGCTAAGATAAATAGCATCTGTTAACTCAGTTGGGTCTGGCTGAGTAGTTTTCTTTTTGGCCATAATGTGTGGTGAGACACAGAGACACTGTGGCGCTTGGTGTATCCTGTCCTCAGATGAGAGAGAAAAGGAGGCAGGCCTAGCATCGCCTTGCTTCCAAGGTTTAATAATAAACCGGAAGCTCTTTAAGATCTTCCTCTATGTAAATATCAAACGGGGAAAAAAAAGAACTATTGTGCCGTACGTGTAACATAAGCAAGTCTGCTCTGGTGTTTGTCTACATTTCAAGGATATTTTTGAGGGAAAGGTGAATACAGTGTAGTTTAGTTTAGTTTAGTTTAGTTTTTTTTTCTGAGGGAAACTTATTTAGGTAAATGTAATATATCATACACCAGGCTCAACTATGTAATTATAAGTTCTGAATATATAGCCATAATTTACTATCCCTGCAACCATGTAAAGTTTAACCAATAAAAATGAATATCACGGCCAGGCGCGGTGGCTCCCGCCTGTAATCCTAGCACTTTGGGAGGCTGAGGAGGGTGGATTACGAGGTCAGGAGATCAAGACCATCCTGGCTAACACGGTGAAACCCCGTCTCTACTAAAAATACAAAAAATTGGCCAGGAGTGGTGGTGGGCGCCTGTAGTCCCAGCTACTTGGGAGGCTGAGGCAAGAGAATGGCGTGAACCCGGGAGGCGGAGCTTGCAGTGAGCCGAGATCGCGCCACCGCACTCCAGCCTGGGAGACAAAGCGAGACTCCGTCTCAAAAAAAAAAAAAGAATATCCCATCAGTAAATGATGTTGGTATATGGTCAGCAATAAATTCAACACATGTACTAGTAAAGAAGTCCTGAACCTTATTTGTGGTATAAGAAAATACAAGAAATGTACATCAGTAAATATTGAATCATACAATATGAGTTTTTTATAACTTTTTTCACGTAGCATAATGTTTCTAATGTTCAGCTGTGTTGTATATATACATGTAAATATACTCACAGCCTGTATGAGTATTTCATTCCCTTATATTGTTAAATAATATTCCATTGTAAGGATATACTACACTTTATTTATCCATTCATTAGGTGATAAAAATGTGGGTTATTTCCAATTTGAGGTCACTGTGTATAATACTACTGTGAACATTTGTGTTCACATTTTTATTTTGATGTATATTTTCATTTCTCTTGAGTATATACCTGGAATTGGAATTGCTAAGTCATATGGTTACTTTATTCTGAACATTTTGAGGAACCACCAAACTGTGTTATAAAAAGGTGTCACGAGATCCTTGGGATGTTGCTTCACCAGGCAGAAACCTCTGTGACTGGCGGCGCCTTCTGCGTGAGTATTGCTCATGCCTGCTGGACTCGTTCTGCTCACTCGTCGCAGCAGACTGTGCTCAGCTCATGCTAACAGCCCAGATCCCACATCTACCGAGGGTAAGCCAGGAGTGGAGCAGCGAGGGGTGTATGGATGAGTGAGTGTGGGGTCCGGCTACTGCTCACAGCCAGGCACACTGGCTGCTGCAGTGGGGTGGTCAGCTCCAGGTGCTGACACAGGTGCTGGCTCTGTGTGAGGCTGTGGCTTGACAAGAGGTACTACACGCGGCTTCCACTGTGGGCACCAGGCACCACGTACGGACGAGGGGAACACTGTGGCGCCTATAAGCTTGGAGACGCCAGGAACCCCAGAGCCCCAAAGAGGGTATCATAGCCCTGGCTGGGAGATGCCCTAGGTCTAGGCTCCCTTAAGGACTGCAGCCTTCTCTCCTAGTCACCCACAACGTGGCAAGCAGGGGGTGGTGTGTTTCAGCCCTGTTTGTGTTACAACTCTTTTAGTCCCACCATTTGGCAGGTCCTGGGTTCTTGTCCTACGTCCAGGAAGAATGAGGGATGTGGACAACTGGAGGGTGAGCAAAGCAGAGAGAAGCTTCATTGAGTAGCAGAAGGGCTCTTAGGAGACCCAAAGTGGGCAGCTCCTTTCTGCAGACAGATCATTGGGATGACTGTCCAACTCTCAGCAGAGAGGAGATCTGCAGTGGGTAGTTCCTTCCTGCTTCTCCCAGCAGCTGGTAGTCCTGACATCTGTTCAAGTCTGGCTGAATCCAGGTTTTTTTTATGGGCTCAGAATGGAGGAAGTGCCTGCTAATTGGTCTATGCACGGCCATGGGTGGGCTGGAAAAAGCATTGTAAGTTGTCACTCCAGCCACAGACTCCACCCAGAACTGACAGCCTGGCCCCCAGTCTTCAGGCTGTTCCTGGTTTGAAGGTGGGGTTTCAATGGGGACCTGTCTGTTTCTGCTCAGGAGCCTGCCTACCCCCATCAACATGCTGTCAAGGGCACCCTGGCTGCTAGCGGAGGAGTCCTGCACGGTGCCTCCTTCAGCACCCATGGCCTCCCTTCCTGAGCTCATGGGTGACTTAAGCTTCAGAGGGAGGCTGAGGCAGCAGGGGCTTGGCATATCAGTGCCACCCTGAGTGCACACACACCCAGCTAGGTTGTGACAGCACCCAAGCTCGGGGACAACTTTGCTCTGCACCTGAGCAGGCACTGGGAGCCGGAGCAGGCACTTCCCAGCCTGCAGGGACAAGGAGGCCTCCCAGGCCCCTGAGTGCCCAGGAATGTCTGGGTCCAGAGCTGCAGCTGGGTGGCTGCAGCTGCGCCCAGGAGCAGGGGGCACCTGTCCCTTTAACTAGTTAGGGAGTGGGGTTCCCACCTGTTCCAAGCCCTTGCCTGCTCGGCTCTGGGGAGCACACAGCCTCCCCTGCTGCAATTGGCCTCCCTGCAGTGGCTGCTCCAGACGGGCCACCACCACCATCAGAAGTTGTACTATTTTACATTCCCACTAGCAGTGTATGAAAGTTGTGATTTCTTTGTATCGACATCCTTATTTGTTTTATGTCTTTTGATTATAGCTTAGTGGGTCTGAAGTGATATCTCATTGAAGTTTAATTTCTCTGATGGCTAATGATGTTGAACAGCTTTTCATGTACTTATTATTGGCCGTTTATATACTTCAGAAAAATGTTTTTCCCCATTCTATGGGTTATCCTCTGACATTCTCGATGGTGTCAAGTACAAAAAATTTAATTTTGACAAAACCTAATTTTTTTATTTTACACGTAATTTTGATGTCATGTCTAGTAAAACTGTGCCTAACACAGTATCACAAAAACTTATAACACTTTCATAAATTTTTATAGTTGTGGCACTTACATTGACATCTACCTCCAATTTGTCTTAATTTTTGTGTATGGTATGAGATAGGGTCTAACAATTTTTACATGTGATATCGAGATGACCCAACATCATTTGGTAAAAAGACTATTCTTATTCCATTGAATTGTGTGTGGCACCTTTATCAAAAATCGATGGACAATGAATATGAAGGTTTATTTCTGGATGGTCAAATTTGATCCCATTGTTTACAGTTTACATTGTTTACAATTCTGTCTGTTCTATCTATCCATTGTTTCTATTCTGTTCTATCCAATCTATTCTATCTATTGATTACATTAACATTGTTTAAAATTGTATCCATTGTTTGCAGTTTACATTAATTATAATTCTATATTACTTACAAGTATATCCTCATATCCACAGCAAACTTTCTTGAATACTATAGTTTTGTCATCAGTTTTGAAATCAGAAAGCGTAAGTCTTCCAACTTTTTTTCTTTTTCAAGCTTGTTTGGGTTGCTCTGGGAATTGTGGATTCTTGTCTGCCCAGAGAAGAGATCCACTTGTCAAAATTCCAAAAAAAAAAAAAGTAAAAAAAAAGAGAAAAAAACAGCTAGTAGGAATTTCGATGAAGAATACATTTAATCTGTAGATTAGATTGAGGAATATTATTATCTGAACAAAATTATCTTCCAATCCATAAATAGGAATGCCCTCACATAAACTTAGAAATACTTTAATTTACTTTAACAGTGTTTTATAGTTTTTAGAGTACAAGTTTTGCACTTCTTTGATTACGTTTTTTCCTGTTTCATTCTTTATGACACTGTTTTAAATCAAACTGTTTTCTTGATTTTATTTTTGGATTGTTTATTGCTAGTGTATAAAAATGCAATTGATTATTTTATATTGTGTTTGTACCTGTCAATCTGACTAAAATCAGTTATTAGTTATAATAGTTTTATGGTGGATTCCCTAGAACTTTTGATATAAAAATTATGTCATCTGAAAGTAGAAATAGTTTTACATTCTCCATTCCAACTTAGATGCTCCTGATTTCATTTGTTTGCCTGGTTGTCCTGGCTAGAACCTCCAGTAAAATGTTGAATAGCAGTGGTGAATGTCCATATTTGTCTTATTCCTGATCTTAACTGCAAAGTAATTTAGGCTTTCACAGTTAAGTATAATGTTAGCTGGGGTTGTCGTAGATGTCCTTTATCATGATGTGGGATATTCCTCTATTCCTAGTCATCTTTTAATCAAGAAGAGGTGTTAGGTTTTGTTAAATGCTTTTCTTGTATGTATTGGAATCATCATCAATTTTTCCTTTTGATTTTATTAACATTGCATATTATATTATTAATTTTCAGATATTAAAACAACCTTGTAGTTTTTAGATTAATTCCATTTCTTATATAATCTTTTTTATATGTTGCTAGATTTGAATCACTAGTTGTCAAGCATTTTAGTGTCCTTTTTATTATAGATATTAATCTGCTGTTCTTTTTTTTGTCATGCATTTATATGTCTGGTTTTGGTATGTGGGTAATATTGGACATATACAATGAGTTAAAAATTGTATTTTTGAAAGATTTTATGAAGTATTGTTATTAATTCTTGCTTAAATATTTGATAGAATTCACCAAAGGAGCCACATGGGCTTGGAATTTCTTTTGTGGGAAGTTTTTTATTTGTTTTATTTTTTGTTCTAAATTGATAGACTGATGAAGAAAATGTGGTACATATATACCACGGAATACTATGCCGCCGTAAAAAGAGAAGATCATCCAGGGACTGGGATGGAGCTGGAGGCTATTATCCTTAGCAAACTAATGCAGGAACATAAAACTAAACACCACACATTCTCACTTAGAAGTGGAAGTTAAATGATGAGAACACATGGACACATAGAGGGGAATGACACACACTCGGGTCTTTTGGAGGGTGTAGGGTAGGAGAAGGAAGAGGATCAGGAAAAATAACTAAAGAATACTAGGCTTAATACCTGGGTGATGAAACAATCTATAATAAACCCCCATGACACAAGTTTACCTGCGTAACAAACCTGCACATATACCCCTGAACTTGAAATAAAAGTTAAAAATTTACTAATTCAATTATTTTGCTTTTTAGAAGTCTGCTCAGATTTTCTGTTTTCTATTCATGTTTTCTAATTATTCTTGAGTGAGTTTCAGTAGTTAGTATATCTAATTTGTTGGAATACAGTTGTTTTTAGTATTTTCTTACCATTATTTTTATTTGAGTATAATCCTGTTGTGTCCTCCATTTCATTCTATCTAAAGGTTGATCAATTTTGTTGACTCAGAACAAATTTAAAGTTTCATTGATTTCCTCTAGTGTTTCTCTATTATCTACTTCACTAATTTCTGGTCTAATCTTTATTATTTCACTGCTTTTGCCTTCTTTATGTGGCATGTTTAGATAACATCCAAGCTAATTACCTTAAAAGATATCACTTTTCTTTCTAGTTGATTAAGGTGAAAGATTAAGGTATTGACTTAAATTTTTTTCTTCTTTAACATAAAGTTACAACTATAAAATTCCCTTTAAAGATTCTTTTACTTATATTCCATACGTTTTGGTATTTTGTGTTTATTTTAATTTATCTCAGACCGTTTTATAATTTCCCTTGTGATTTCATTTCCTGACTCAGTGGTTATTTAAGAGTCTATTTTTTAACTTCCACATATTTGTGAATTTTCTAAATTTCTTTGTTACTGATTTCTAATTTCCTTACACTGTACTCAGAGAACTTTCTTTGTATAAATTTATTAGGACTCGCTTTAAGGCAGGTCATTAACAAAATACCAGAATACGTAATTTATAAAAGAGCAGAAATGCATTTTCTCACAGTCCCAGAGGCTGGGTAATTGAAGATCTAGGAGCCAGCAGATTCTGTTGTATGGTGAGGATTATTCTCTACTTTTAGGACAGTGCCTTGAATGTTGCTTCCTCTGGAGTTGGAGGAATACCATGTCCTCACATGGCAGTAGGCAGAAGGGCAAAAGTGACAAACTCTCCATTAAGCCTTTTTCTAAGGGCACTTAATCCCACTCACAAGGGAGAAGTCCTCGTAGTTTAATCACCTCTTAAAAACCCACCTCTTAATACTATTACATTGGCAGCATCTACATTTAGGAGGGGTCACATTCAAACAGGTCACAGTGTAACCTGTCCTGGAGAAATTTTTGTAAGTGCTTGAGAAGAATATGTATTCTGCTGTTGTTGGGGCGTTACATGTGTATCAACAAAGATCAAAACCAAGAGTTTTATTTTTTAAACAAAGGAGGGACAGACCCAGAAAAATAATTAGATTGAATTTCAGAGAAAGGTACTTTGAAAAAAATTTTAAAAAAGAAAACATTATTAAAGGTTTGAAAGGTTTTCAGGAACAAATGTTATGAATCTTGAATGTAATCATGGTTTTTAATGACACTATCTGTTGTGCTGAGCAGGATAATATTATGTAATTAATGGAGATGATAGTTACTCTTCATACTAAAAATGTAGGTCATCTGAATGGTTATTCTGGAGGCTTCACTAGACCTTGAAACACTTTTAATAGTTTAATGGTAAAGGCACTGGAATTTCTTATTGATTGATTTGACTATGATGGGATTGCTCAGTCAATAATTCTTGGCAATACAGGGACCTACTCTGACCAGAGACTCCCTATCTGTTCCTATATAGGATATTTCATAGCCACACAGCAGAGAATCAAAGGGTATTAATCTCTCCAAATCTAACAGGAAGAAGCATACATTCTTGACTACCAGGAAGCAGACTTACTGGCCTTCAACATGAAATAAATTTTACTTATTCCTGCAAGTAGCAGGCTTGTTTCAATATAGATTTCCTTGAGCCTTCTGGTGAAACGATTTGGTGTATTCAGCTCAGTTAGAGATCACGTTGATTCTCCTGGTCCTTGGGTATTCAAATATCTATAACCCCTGGAGATGTGTTTTTTGTTTGTTTGTCACTGTTTTAAAACTTCATTATAAGCATCAGATATTCCCTATCAACATAAGAAATGTAAATATGCACCTTGTTACTGTAGCCTACCATCCAGACAAATTTCATCTGGAATCACTCATTTTTGTCCAAATCCATGTCCTTCTTGATCTGCACATATACTCTACTTGGCCCAGGCTCCTGGACTCCCTGAAGCAGTACAGCCATTTCCTTACGATGTGACGATTCACTAAGTATATCTGAAATAAATAAGGGTGTTGGTGTATAAGGTGGGAGGTGCAAGAATGTTTGGAGGAAGTTGCAAATGGAACATCTGAGCAACATAACAAGCATTATCTCATAGTAAGCTCCTTTTAAGATGTCTACTTGAAGTGCCAGTGAAATGTGACTGGCTTGCTAAAGTTAGAATAATTATTGATGTACTTATGAAAATGTGCTTATTTTTAAGGGCATGGAATATTTCCCTGAAATTTGTGTTTGTTCATCTGGGTTTTTATAGCACCCTGTAAGGTAACCTATACAAGTATATTTTGTAATACAGATTGTATGTTGTGGGTGTATTAGTCTGTTCTGGCTGCTATAACAGAACACCACAGACTGAGTGGCTTAAATGACAAAAATTAATGTTCTTACAGTTCTGCAGGAAGTTCAAGATCAAGATAATAGCAGGGTGGTTCTTAGTGAGGCCTTTCTTCTTGGCTTAAAGACAGCTGCCTTCTCTCTGTGTCCTCATAAGGCCCTTCCTCTGTGTGCTTGAGGAGAGAGAGATAGCTCTGATATCCCTTCCTCTTCTTGGAAGGACACCAGTTTTATCAGATTAAGGTTCCACCCTTCTGATACCATTTAATTTTAATTACCTCCTAAAAGTCCCTATCTCCAAGTACAACCCCACTGGGGGTTAGGGCTTCAACATAGGAATTTGGGAGACACATTTTACTCCATAGAAGTGTGTATAGATAGGAGGTTCTTTAATCACATGCCACAGTGTTTCTCAATGCCAAGGAAATATTCAGATTTGAAGAAAATTTGGTGGAAGGAATAAAACAGACATAGAGAAAGAGTAAAACCTCACCAATTTATACTAAGTGAGACACTAGCATAAGTAGGTAAATTTCTGAATTAAAATCATAAATATCGTAAAAAGTACATAGCATTAAATTAAATAATTACAGTGATATTAAAATTATACATGTACAGTGAAAGTGTTGCAAACTTGAGAGTTCTTTTGTGGTTAAAAGCTCAATTTGAGCAGAATAATAGGCTGAAAACTAGTTGATGCAGAGTCATCAGTGTGGAAAAAAATGGTTTTCAGATGACAGGAAACTGATCCTTTTATTTTTGACTACATTTTACATACTTGTTCAAGTCTAGATGAATAGGAGAACCAAAGACAGCCAGTCTTTAGTCCCCTGAATGGCCCTTGTGGTTGGATGGCTCTTGGTATTAAGCTGGTTTATAAGACTAAGATGTGAAGCTATTAAATTAATTTTTAATCAAAAAAAGTAATCCTTTTAATCAGCAAACATCCATTTTTGAAGTTGACTGGTGGATTCCCTGGACCCATCTCAATTTCCATGTAAAAATGTGCTCTGATGAAGTACTTTGCATTATGTGCTTGGCCCAACCTCTCCTTTCTGTGAGTCACTGAAATCTTGCGTCATTTTGTGCTTTGAACTGAGTCTTAGCTTTTAGGATGTTCACAGCAAACCTATAGCTACTAGTATTTAATATGGCATTTGTATGTCAGGCATTAACAAACTAGACTGTGTCCAGACTAGGAATTATTTTTAAAAATACATATAGAAAGTCTAACCTGAATTGCAGAAAGCAAAGTAGGCAGAAAATAGCTTTAGATAAAAAAGGACTAGCATTTGGAAGAAAGAATTGCTTCATAAGGCAGAACTAGGAACATGGAAATAAAGAGGAGGCAGTTTTCAGCTCAATTAAAGAAGATCTTTCCAATGTTAGAGGAGCTGTTCATTAATTTAATGAACATAAAGTGCTTCATAAAGTGAAGAGTTCCTTGTGTGGGAGGTTCTCAAGCATTGGCAAGATGACAATTTGTTAGGGGTATTTAGGAGAGACTCAGAGGATTGGAGTTTAAGTTAATGGCTTTCAAGATTCATTTCTATTTATTCTGAGTACTCACAGTGACTCAAAAAAGGCTAACATGTTACATGAAAATGGCCATAGGGAACTAATTAATCTAGACTGGTACTGAACACTGTGTGTTAAGAGACAGGAGTGAATGGTAGAGCATGAAGGACTATTTTTATGATTTAATTAATAGGTTAAATATAAAGGAGTATTTTGCAACTAACTTGAAGCTTCCAAAGAGTGATTCATCTTTACATATTTTAATATTCACTGCTCAAACTAATTCAGAAGAGATTTACAAATTTTCTGAAGAAATATATAGTAAACAAAGATTAAAATCAGTGCAGACATTCTCTAAAACTCTTCAAATTCTGAAAAGTGGACCCTGGATTAATTTATTTCAGTTGCCTCCTTTATCTGGGAATTTTTAAAAGCAGGAACATTACCTTATTTCTTTTTATATTTTTAGCACATAATAAAATGTCAGGTTTTTAATCAGTGCTCAATAAATGTTATTTGAGTTGAACTAAATTCATACAAAATCTATGTTGTTTTTATTACTGATATAATTTCTCTCACCTTACAATCCATGTGATTAGCAAAAACAATAAAATAGAATCATATATATAAACATTGCACACTTAAACAAAAATATGATAGATCATACAACTGCTAAAATTGAGGCTGACCTTTGCCAACACCATTATTAATTCTTCAGGTACTGAAAATAGCTGCAGGCTACAGAAATTAATTTACTCTGAAACACAATGGGGGGGGTTTCAAAAAAAATAAGCAAAGGAGTGATTTTAGCTTAAAAATAAGCAAATAATGGTTCCTAGGAATTAAAAAGCAAATATCTGCAAGTGGAATTTTGTTTATTACTCATTTTCTGTTAATTTATATTTGGCTGAATTGTGTTTCTTAAAATGGGCATGTGTGTTAAAATTCATTGACGTGGGATTTAGTGGTAATGTTTCTTGCTTTCATGAACTATCAAATAATTTAACTGTCCTTCCTTCAGAGCTCCTGCTGCATAAAATGTGTTTTTCTTCAGTTACCTTCACAATAGAATTTCAAGCTTGGGCATTTGCTGAATTCTCAACACCCTTAGGATGAGTTATTTGGTTGGAACATCAAAGTATATTTTCAGAAAAAATATTTTAAAAAAATCAGTGATTGTGAATATTCTTCTATTTTTCATTGTATATATTTTCATTAAAAAAACAACTTAGGCTCTTGAAACTAGATGCTATATTAAGAAAAAGGAAAACAAATCTTTCATAAAATGTGACTTAAAATAAATATCTGATCCTGAAAGCAATATAGAATATTTAAAAATAATAAATAATTTTCTATTTTCTCCATATTATTTGTTTTATTTGTGTATCTTGTTACTTTGCTTAGTGTTGTATAATCATACCTTTGTTGAACATATGTTGACTAAGATAGACTGTTAATACAGATTCTCTCTGACTGCCAGTGCTTAATTTCTGTTCAGAATGTGTCAAGAAGACTTCACATTAAGACATGTAAGAAGATATAACTGAGATAGCCAACCACTCTTTCCTTCTCAAAATAATGAGTTTTATTCTCGGGATGTAATGCATGCTTTGGGGGTGCGCAGAACTGGACAAGTCAAATATACATGGTGTTTTATATGGGAACAAATACCCTACTGCTCATTAAAAAGTGGGGAAATTGGGCAGAAATAGCCAATCTCTTCAACTGCTGCAGTTCTAATCCTCTAATCTCTGACCCTGCTTAGTACACTTTCCTCTCACTTGCTCTCGCTATGTGCTGAGTAGATTGCTGTGAAGAAGGAGGTGTTGAGGGAGTACATAATGAAAAAAATGCTACAGTATGAAAAATAAACAACTCACATATCCAATGCAACATCCTCTTCTGTAAGCTCTGCACTGCAGTGTCTGTCTTTGTGATTACATCTGGTGTTCATCATTCAGTAATCCATCTAAATCCTTGTCTTGTCTGCTGATATCCAGCCTCCTTCCTCTAGCCAGTGCCTTCTGTAAATTTTTGCTTATATTTCAATTGTTTTGAAAATAGAGGACAGAAAATGTGAATGTTCATTTTCCTCAGAGTAATATTTACTACTTAATCCTTGGTCCTCTGGACTCCATCCACAGCCTCATTTTACACTTTCTACTGAATCTCAGACTCTCATTCTACTTGATTTTTTACCAAAGCAGTAAATAAGAAACAGCTCTTATGTTTTCAAAATATTCCCTACTACAGTCTCCATCACCCTGGAATGTATGGATGTGAGAATCTGATTAATTTTCATGCACTTCTTCATTTACTAGAAAATGCATTGCACTCCAGCTTGGACTTGATCAATGAGTGCCCTCAATTAAATAAGTAACTTTCAGGCAAGGATCTGCATTCCTTTGCTGAAACCTCCAAAAACATCCTGCTATCATTGTTATGCTACTCCTCTAAGGCAGAAGGCTGACACAGGGTGAGACACAGAGATATTTAGTGGTGAAAATACATCCTCAATTGTGACACCTCTGAACTAATATCCAAAACACACAAAAAACAGTTTGACAATTTAACACTTGACTGCAAAGGAAGATCCTGATAGTTTACCTTGAAGGAAATTGCAGCAATTTTCTGTGAAAGAGTAAACAACTAATGTGGGATTACCTGGAGAGGACCAGTCTGTCATTCTGGGTGCCTAGGCATGATGAACAGATTCTGGCACTCTCTTCCTAAAGGAAAGCCTGAGAATTGGCAAAATCTGATAACACACATTAACACCTGTAGTGAGCTGTCTTCTCAATTCATTCTTCAAAATAAAAATTCACAAGAATCTCCTACTTGAGTAATATTTTAACTAAAATAAATCATCCAAGATAAAGGAGAAAACATCTGCCAAGAGTATATATTTAAAAAACAAACAAAAACCAAAGCTTTTAGTAACATCTTTAAATAGAGGTTACTATTTTAAAGCTTACAACTATAAATCAGAATATGATGCCATGAAAAAAGTTTAAATAATCTGAATTTTTAAAAAATAAAGTAATTAGGAGGAACGGAATATCTCCCCAAATTTCCCCAAATTCAGCTCCATTGCCCCCAAGAAAAGACTAGAGATTTTGTGTGTGTACATTTTAAGAAGGAAAATAGCATAAGGGAATAATCTATGAGATAGCATCCATGTATAATAGAGTTCTAAAGAGAAAAATCTGAAAACAATAGCGAGGATGTTACATATTAGTATAAGAAAAACTTCCTGAGCTGAAGGAAAATGTGAGGCTTCAAACTGATAGAACCTGCTATAGAAATTAGGAAATAAAGAACAGTACAGCAAGCTAAAATCCCAGATGAAATTTTAGAAAATAAGATAAATAAAAGATCTTAAAAATCTTCTGGGAAGTAAAGAGTTGTCCCACAAATCAGCATGAATCAGACTGACATCAGAATCATTAAGATGTTTGATAGATTAAAACAGTGAAACCATATCTTCAAAAACAGGAAGGAATAAAATGTGTATTTAGTCAAAATATTAGTAAAATATGGGAGAGAACAAGGCATTTTTGTTCTTGACAGATTCAGAAAATGTATTCCCACCCAACTTTTCTGGAAAATATTTGAGGGTACATTTAGAAAAATAAGAGAATAAACCAATAAAATGACACAGTATTCAGAAACAGTGTAAACAACCCAACAAACCGGTCAAAAAAAGTCCCAGAATAACAACTCCACTCAGACCTTGAACAGGAGAAAATATATTTCTGTAGGAAAGTTGCCAGGAATAAAGAAAAATCTTAACATAGTGTTCCTGAGAGTTTGTCTTATTGGAAGATATGGAATAATATAGACAGAACATAGGAATAATACATTTTCTATTGGTAAATTCCAAGACAAAAAAGTTATAGTCCAAATATGAAAAACTTGGCCCAGCTTAGGACATGAAATAAACAAACAGGAAAGAAGTGTAATACCCTGGTGTTAGTCAATGCATGGGAAAAATAAGACGCTGAAAGACATTAGAAGATGGCAAATAAGACAGGTTTCCTCTCTCTAGATTAAAACAAAAATTTAAAAGACTGCATAAGGTTATACAAGCTGTGTTTTCAATAGAGCATTTAAATTTATATAAGTAACTTAAAATAAAATGTAAAATTTAGCTCATTAGTCTCACTAGCCACATTTTAAAGTTCTCAATAGACACATATACTAGTGGCCATCAAAGTGAATAATTTAAATAGAAAACATTTTCATCATCATAAAAATGACTGTTGGACACTGTTGATTTAGAGTACTAAACCAATTAAATAAAAATTTAAATATACAAATTAATGCTGCACACTTTAGATATATTTATTAGTCAGCTTGGGATGCCATAACAAAATACAATTGACTGGGTGGCTTAAGCAATAGTTTATTTTTCAGGGTTCTGAAGGCTGGAAGGTCCAAGGTCAAGGTGCTCATCTGGTGAGGACTCTCTTCATGGTTTGCACTCAAATGCCTTCTGGTAATGTCCTCACAGGATTTTTCCTTGATGCATGTATGAGAAGAGAGTAGAGAGAGCTCTGATCTTCTTCTTCTTGAAAGGGCACTAATCTCATCATGTGGGCTCCCTCCTCAGGACTTCATCTAAACCTTCCAAAGATCTCACCTTCAAATACCTTGAGGATTTGGGGTCCAACATACGAATTTTGGAATAGCACACACATTCAATCTATAGGAGTATATCTATATTTAAATCTATAAAGCATACAGAAATGCATGGTGATGCCATTCACAAATTCCATCGATTGATTTATGACCTATAATACGCTGTCATTCAGATACCTCTTTAGATCCACATCCACATTTTTTGGTTCATCTGAGCTTTTCTAATAAGATGCTTCACTTTATCTTTGAGTTTTATTAAGCTAAAAGAAAATACATAATTTTCATCTCCTAAAGAGTACTTAATTTTGAATTTTTTGTAATTATCTTGGAGCTTTCTTCCTTCCTGTCTGATGTTTAAAACTGAGTCATTTTTGCTTGGGTCATAACTTCGATGTATTGTTAGTCCCGTTCCTATTTGACTCTGTCCATTCTTCCTATTTATTCAGTTCATCTTCCCTGAGCTCCTAGTTGGGATGTTGCTGGGATCCCAGCAGTCTTAGGTGAAGAATCTTCAGCATTTCCTAGGATAGATTTAAGGAACAACTCCTGTCTTTCATCAAAATTAAAGCAGTTATCCCAGGTCACTCTTAAATAAGCTCTGCCTTCCATATCTCCCATATTTAAGCTCAGCTTTTACCTTTCTCAGGTAAACTTTTCTATAAAAAAACTGGTTAGGATTATTTTCATGATAAAAATGTTTGTATATTCATCACTGCTTGAGTAAAATCTGTACAAAGCGTTTTGCAATTCATTCCCAATTGAGCTTCCCAAGATCTTTGTTTTAGTTCATATTCCTTCAATCTGCTGCTTATTTTATCCTCTAATAGTATTTATCTTTCAATATCCGAATCCAATGTTATTCTCCAAAGCCTAACCCAGAATATAAAATTAATTTATCTTTCTCCAGTAATAACTTATATGTAGCTTATTATGTCACAGAACAGATTTTAACAATAACTTTCACTTTTTCTCAAGCAAGAATGTACATTTTTATAAAACTCATAGCATCTAGCAAAATAAAAATACTGTGGGTTTTTAGTAAATGTCTACTGATAGAGCAAATAAATCCTTGTGACAACAGCAAGAAGATAAAATAATATAATTTTCCCTACTAGGTCCTCATATTAATGTATGTTTGTTGTGTAAAATTTGTGACACACATTGTGGGTACCTCCCAATAGACTTTCAGCACATTGAATGAAGAGATGAAGTCTTTTTATTTGTGTATGTGATTATAATTGCATAATAAGAAAATAAATATCATAACAGAAAATCCAGACCAAAATAGGAAAAAAATGGAAAATAAACTAAATGCAGAAAATTTTCTGATTCAAATACTGTAAGATGTTATTTACTAGACAGTTTTATCTTTCCATTCATTGTTTAATATCCAATAATGTGTTAGCAAACTTTGCATTAATTACCATAAGGTAATGCATAGGTTATTCATGTAATTTCATGGCAGTGGAATGATACTTAACTCTGTTGAATATTTGTTAAAATACTTACACACTGAAATGTAAAGGGATGGAATAAATAGTGGATGGGTGTCTTATGATTCAGGTACAATACAAATAAATTAAAATCCAACATGCTCTAAGCACTCAGTATGTGCAATGCACTCTGCCTGCCCTTAAGGGACAATATAAGATCAAGAAAATACTCTCTTGCTTACCCAGCTGTAACTCCACCCTACTCTAAAATAATCTATTTATTCCATTTGATGATGCTACACAGGGCATCTCTAACGAAAAATACCAAATAAATGTTTTCCTCTGTTCAGTTATTTGTTCTTCATTTCTAGCACAAAAATCAAACAAATATTAGAAGGTAAGTTAGACTGTGTGTGTGTGTGTTTATTTGTATGTTTTAGGCACATGTTTACTCTTTCCATGTGTCAGATTGTTTAAATTCAAATCATTTTTGAATTTTTAAAAGTATACGTAGTACCTCATTTGATAAATTTCAGCTGCTGTCTTAATTGCAGATCCTGCAATTTCTTATTTATTTTGTCTCAAGTACTATTGTGGCATAAATGTTGAGCTGTAGGCCGAACACTGTGGCTCACGCCTGTATTCCCATCACTTTGTGAGGTCAAGGTGGGCAGATCACCTGAGGTCAGGAGTTCGATACTAGCCTGGCCAACATGGTGAGACCCCATCTCTACTAAAAACACAAAAATTAGCCAGGCGTGGTTGTGGGTGCCTGTAATCCCAGCTACTTGGGAGGCTGAGGCAGGAGAATCGCTTGAATCCGGGAGGTGAAGTTTGCAGTGAGCTGAGATCATGCCACCGCACTCCAGGCTGGGTAACAGAGCAAGACTCCGTCTCAAAAAAAAAAAAAAAAAGGAAAGTTGAGTTGTGACCAAATCTTGTAAACAACTTTAGGTGCTAATCTGGATAAGGGAATAATGATAGAGAAAGATGAAAAAAGAAATAATGAATCTATTATATAAATAGGACAAATTTAATGATAAATGCTGTCAAGCTATAGGAAGCAGAAAATAACTAGCAATATGCAATCTTAGAATTTACCCAGAAATAGAAAAAACAGATATCCTCTTTCCTCTTTCCTCTTTCCCCTCAACTTAGCAATCGTGACACAAAGAGAAAATAGAATGAAACTTTTAAAAAAGAGTGCTTTTAGAGCTGAATGGGCCATTTGTTTTTTGTTTTTGTTTTAATCAATGGGCATTTTGATGATGGTGAAATAAATAATCCTTTATTTTTTTACCCTGGCCTCACCATTTCTCTCATTTATTCTTGAGTATGTGTTGAGAAATGAAAAGAAAATTAACCTTAGAGTCAGAGTCTTTTACCCTCAGAAAAAGAGAAGAGCCTGAATGTTAGAACCTTGTCAGGAGATTTGTACTGGTTCTAACTCCAAAGCACAAAATAAGAATTTTATGCTTCTTTCTGGGTTAACCATCCTAATTTCAAGGTTTTAATAGATCAGCTTACTTGTAATAAAGCTTCTTAAAACATCTTCTTTTCACTATTAATATAATTCTTACCTGATTTCAATATTTATGGTGATTTGTAATTTTATGAGAACTATATTTTATAGAAACCAGCTTTATACAAATACATTAAATACATGGAGGAATTAGAAGCTCGGCATTTAATGATGCAGTTATCAGGGCATATGAATGTGAACCATTTTTGTCAACCTAAGCAAAATGCACTTAACCTGTAAATGTTTCATTAACCCACATGCTGGAGATCTGAATTGCAATGGAGAAATTAAAATATACTGTTATGTAAAGTCTATCTTATCAGTTATCTCAGTGTGGCTTGTGGTTTAGTTTCAGATGTCAAACAAACTGACAGCAGGTACCCTTCCTAGAGGAAACAATAATTACCAGACCTAACTTAGAAAATTCTGGAAGCCAGAAAATACATAGCTTTGTTAGTCCGTTTTCATGCTGCTGATAAAGACATACCCAAGACTGGGCAATTTACATAAGAAGGAGATTTAATTGGACTTACAGTTCCACATGGCAAGGGAAGCCTCATAATCATGGTGGAAGGCAAAGAGGAACAAGTCAGGTCTTTTGTGGAAAGCAGCAGGCAAAGAGCACTTGTGCAGGGAAACTCTGCCTTACGAAGCCATCAGATCTCGTGAGACTTATTCCCTATCATGAGAACAGCACGGGAAAGACCTACACCCCATGATTCAATTACCTCCCACTGGGTCCCTCCCACAACATGTGGAAATTCAAGATGAGATTTGGGTAGGGACACAGCCAAACCATATCAATAGCCAAGATCATAGTTAATACTTATCGATATATATCCCATTTAGTTTAAAGTGATTAGCTACATAGTCTTTAGACTAGAAGTTAGTGTCATCTTCACTCTATTGCTATTTTGGTCGCTCTTCATCTACATTACACACTAAAACAAAATAAAAAAAGAAAAACAGTGTAGTATTACAGCTAGGAACACTGACCTTAGAAATTGAAACCATGTTTTGAATCCCTGCTGTGCTATCTTCTAGCCCTCTAACCTTCTGAAAGTTACTAAGCCTTCCATAAATATAGTTCCCCCATCTCTTATATATCATCATCATTATCAATCATCATCATCATCATCACTGTCCTCATCTTCCATAATACATTGGTGTAGCACACAGTATTTTTGTCCTATACCACAGGCCTTTGACCTATCACATATTTCAGCTCCATCTGTGGTAGAGAGTTCTCATGATTCCTGTTATGTCTCACCTATTGTGGTGGCTGAGACTCTATCTTTCTGCCTCTGTTTTTTGTCTTATGTAAAGAAGCTTCCTCAGATGCACATACTCAAAGAAGACCCGAGGTGGTGGAGTAGGGTGGGGATGGGCGTAGAGGTCAGCTCCCAGATGCAGGCTTACTTTTTGTATTTTAGTGGTACAATTCTGTAGAATAGTCAATATGATTCCCCACGGGGCTCACAAAGGGATAGAGCCCTAGTTGACTACAGCTCAGTTGTCCTATTGCAATCACTTTTCTCTTTCCTTGTCTCACCAGCACTCCCCTCAACTCATTCTCACTTCCTTACTCTTACTTTGTCTCAAATGATCCACCTGTATCCAAGTGATTGTCCTAGGTCATGCTTCTAAACGATTCAGTTAAAGAGTTGTATTTTCTCATCATCATTGTCATCATATTCATTGTCATAATCATTGGCATCATGATAATTATCATTAGCATCATCATTATTTTATGTTTATGTCCATGTTTTCTAGATTCCTAGAGGAAAAGAAAAGCTCCTTAGAATAAGTAGAGATTTCAGTGACTAATGTATTTATTGGACATAATGAAATGCAAAACAAGAAAATGAAAACTATTGTAAGAGATGCATGGGCCCTTTGTGGTTGCTTATGGTACCATTTAGTTAAATGGCATTAATCTGAATTGGAATAATACAGGCTTTATCATGACTAGATGAATTATTATGATACTATTTTTCTTTACTTAATTTATTCTTACTATAATAATGAAGCAAATAAAATAGTTTCTTTCAAAAGTACATTTAAAAATGTGGAATTTTAAATGGGACTTCATGATTTGGCTCTCTGCTTGTGTATTGTCGGTGTAAAGGAATGCTCGTAACTTTTGCACATCAATTTTGTATCCTGAGACTTTGCTAAAGTTGCTTATCAGCTTTAGGAGTTTTGGGGCTGACATGATGGGGTTATCTAAATATAGAATCATGTCATCTGCAAACAGAGACAACTTGACTTCCTCTCTTCCTATTTCAACACGCTTTATTTATTTATGTTGCCTGACTGCCCTGGCCAGAACTTCCAATACTATGTGGAACATGACTAGTGAGAGAAAGCATCCTTGTCTAGTACCAGTTTTCAAAGGGAATGCTTCCAGATTTTGCCCATTCAATATGATATTCGTTATTGGTTTGTCATAAATAGCTCTTAGTAATTTGAGAAATGTTCCACCATCAACGCCTAGTTTATTGATAGTTTTTAACATGAAGGGATGTTGAATTTTATCAAAGGTCTTTCCTACATCTGTTGACATAAGCCTGTGGTTTCTGTCTTTGGTTCTGTTTATGTGATGGATTATGTTTATTGATTCCTGTATGTTGAACCAGCCTTGCATCCCAGGGATGAAGCTGACTTGATTGTGGTGGATAAGTTTTTTGATGTGCTGCTGGATTTGGTTTGTCAGTATTTTATTGAGGATTTTTGCATCAATGTTCATCAGGGATATTGGCCTGAAGTTTTGTTGTTGTTGTTGTTGTTGTTGTTGTTGCTGCTCTGCCAGGTTTTGGCCATACTTCCCAGGTAATTTATAGATTCAATGCTAGTCTCATCAAACCACCACTGGCATTCTTCACAGAATTAGAAAAAAACTACCCTAAATTTCATATAGAATCAAAGAAAACCCCGTATAGCCAAGACAATCCTAAGCAAAAAGAACAAAGCTGAAGGCATCATGCTCCCCAACTTCAAACTATACTATAAGGCTGCAATAACCAAAACCGCACGGTACTGGTACCAGAACAGACATAAAGACCAATGGAACAGAACAGAGACCTCAGAAATAACACCACACATCTACAACTATCTGATCTTTGAAAAGTCTGACAAAAACCAGCAATGGGGAAAAGATCTCTTATTCAATAAATGGTGCTGGGAAAACTGGCTAGCCATACGCAGAAAACTGAAACTGGACCCCTTCCTTACACCTTATACGAAAATTAACTCAAGATGGATTAAAAACTTAAATGTAAACCCCAAAACCATAAAAATCCTAGAAGAAAACCTAGGGAATTCCATTCAGGACATAGGTATGGTCAAAGACTTCATAACTAAAACACTAAAAGCAATGGCAACAAAAGCTAAAATTGACAAATGGGATCCAATTTGACTAAAGAGCTTCTGCACAGCAAAAGAAACTACCATCAGAGTGGACAGGCAACCTACAGAATGGGAGAAAATTTTTGCAATCTACCCATCTGACAAAGGTCTAATGTCCAGAATGTACAAGGAACTTAAACAAATTTACAAGAAAAAAACAAACAAGCACATCAAAAAGTGGGCAAAGGATATGAACAGACTCTTCTCAAAGGAATACATTTATGTGGCCACAAATACATGAAAAAAAGCATCAACTGATCATTAGAGAATGTAAATCAAAACCACAATGAGATACCATCTCACACCACTCAGAATGGTGATTATTAAAAAGTCAAGAAACAATAGATGCTGGCAAGGCTGTGGAGAAATAGGAATTCTTTTACACTGCTGGTGGGAATGTAAATTAGTTCAACTATTGTGGAAGACAGTATAGCGATTTCTCAAGGATCTAGAACCAGAAATACCATCTGATGCAGCAATCCCATCACTGGGTATATATCCAAAGGAATATAAAACATACACATGTATGTTTATTGCAGCACTATTTACAATAGCAAAGACATGGAACCAACCCAAATGCCCATCAATGATAGACTGGATAAAGCAAATGTGTTACATGTACACCATAGAATACTATGCAGCCAAAAAAGAATGAGATCATGTCCTTTGCAGGGACATGGATGAAGCTGGAAGCTGCCATCCTCTGCAAACTAACACAGGAACAGAAAACCTAACACCGCATGTTCTCACTCATAAGTGGGAGTTGAATAATAAGAACACATGGACACAGGGAGGGGAACAACACACACCAGGGTCTGTTAGGAGGTGGGGATTGACAGGAGGGAACTTAAGGGATGGGTCAACAGGTGCAGCAAACCACCATGGCACACGTATATCTATGTAACACACCTGCACCTTTTGCACATACATGTATCCCAGAACTTAAAGTAAAAATTAAAAATAATGTGGAAATAGGCATAGAAATTTTCAAGTTACTAAAGCACTTTGGGAACTTACATTCTTATAAACAAATTGGCCTCATAATTTTTATCTACTCATCAAATATCCATAAATGGTTAAGATCAATGATTATTATTTGTATATTGGAAAATAAAATTATACACCAAAGTATTATATAACTTAAAAATATCTATTAACTTAGATCAGTCATCCCCAGGATCATGGTATTTAATCTGCTCAGCGTATAGTGAACTTCATTTTGATCTGGTCGCTTTAAAACATGTTATCAACCTAATATATATGTAAAGCGTATTCTGTTTAATAAAGGGAATTAAAGAGCTGTAGTATAATTTTTTAAATTATTAAAGCTTAATACTTTTAATCTAGTCATATTGTATATATGATGCAATATAATGTGAGCAGAGCCACATTATAATAACACCTTTGAGATACGTCAAGGTTTTAAATATAATGAAAGTTTTTGGTGTACCATAAGAACATATTGTATTTTCTTACTATATAAATCATTATATGTCATATACTAAAGACTAAACATAAAGCCTATGAACCACTTAAAGCATTATGGCTATCTGTTCAATAATTACTCATACAAGGTACCTGCACTGTGCCAATTAGTAATCTGAGTTCTGTGGATCAAAGATTAATAAGAAAGAATCACTTCAGTTTAGTAGGCCATTATCTACTAGAGAAATAAATACAAATAAATAGTTACAAGCATATTTTATAATTCTTTATTGTAATATCCATTAGAAACAAAAGTATAAAAAGTATAGCAACTGGTGTGATCCTGAAAATTTCATGAAGAGGTTGCATTTTAACTGGATTTTGATAAATAAAAATGGCAGTTTCCAATGGAGGATTTAGAGGAGAGAATTTCAAGTAATACAGCATAATGGAGAGGAGATTTGCCCAGGTAAGAGGAAATACCATTACTAAGGGATTGCAGAGCTTGGTAGAATGTGGTCTAAAATCTAGAAAGATCAATGATCACAGATAATGTATTTCGAACTTACATTTTGAAAATCACCCTATATTCAATGAAAAAGCTATCCAGAGATTTTATGTCGACATCTCTTCCTTCATTTAAAATTTCACTTTTGGATTTCTGAAAAAGTCCTCATGTAATAATTTCTTTTTTTCTTTTCATTTCAATTATCTCCTAGAGTGACAATCACTTTAAGTCTCACATTGACAATGTCTCAGTTTGTTTGTACCGCTCTAACACAATACCTGATACTGGGTAAATTTAGAGAGCACAGATTTCTTTTCTTACTGTTCTTGAGGCTGAGAAGTGCAAGTTCAAGTCACTGGCAGGTTTGGTTGTCAGATGAAAGCTGCTTTCTGCTTCCAAGATGGTGCCTTATGGCTGCATCCTCTGGAGGGGAAAAACTCTATGTCCTTACATGATAGAAGGGATGGAAGGCATGAAAAGATATGAACTCCATATGTCAAGCTCTTTTATATAAATATCTAACATCATTCATTAGGGCAAAGTCCTCATGACTCAATTACCAACTAAAGGCCAACTCTAATATTGCTGCATAGAGGATTAAGTTTCAACATGAATTTTGGAGGGGAAACTATCTTTCAAACCATAGCTCCATCTATGTGTGGGTAACTGTGAAATTTAAACTTCTACTGCACTAATTTTTCCTGAAAGACAGATAATGTATATATCTACATTCTTAATATCTTCCCACAAAAGTCTAAGAAGCTCCAATAATTTTGTTCAAAAGTGACTGTATTCGTTTGTTCTCATACTGCTACGAAGAAATACCTGAGACTAGGTAATTTATAAAGAAAAGGAGGTTTAATGGACTTACAGTTCCACATGGCTGGAGAGGCCTTACAATCATGGTGGAAGGCAAAGGAGGAGCAAAGTCATGTCTTACATGGTGGCAGGCTAGAGAGCATGTGCAGGGGAACTGCCCTTTATAAAACCGTCAGATCTCATGAGACTTATTTACTACCACGAGAACGGCACAAGAAAAACCCAACCCCAAGATTCAATTACCTCCCACCAGGCCCCTCCCACGGCATGTGAGGATTATGGGAGTTGAAATTCAAGATGAGATTTAGGTGGGGCATAGCCAAATTATATCAGTGACCCATTGAATTTACTCTGAATTAGTTTATTACTGATATTTCCCATTTTAAGAAGCTATCACCACCAGCATGCAAACACAAACACACACACACACACACGCACACACGGACACGCAGTTGCTTCACATAAAAATAAAAGAAGCTATCTTTAACTGCCATTCTCTGACATCTTGAACACTGTCCCTTTCAAAATCAATGTGACCTCAACTCTTTGTTTCCACTCTTATTATACTTGTTGCAATGATCACCATTCTTCCTGGGCTAGTAGAAAAATCCTCTTAACTAGCCTTCCTACTTTCACTCTTGGATCCCTCTAATCCATTTTTCACACTGTAGTTGAAGGGAACTTATTAAATTGTGCTGAAATTTTTCTTATGCTACTTTCTCTCTTGTTTAGTATATTCAAGCCACTCTGTCTCTCTGGCTGTTTCTCAGGCTCAAATTTTCTGTCCCTGATATTTTTATAACTATTTTTTATTATGAATAAATTTCTTGCTTAAAAATTACTTCCTAAGGCCACATCATAAAATACCCTGAAATTTTTACTTAACTTGCCATTCTCTATTTTACATATAGTCACTGTTTTATCTTCAATATGTTATTATAATTTGTAAAAAATATTTTTTGCTATGTTTATTTGCTTATTGCCTGCCACCCTTCAAAAGAAAGCTAGAATATCCCTTCAACAGCAAAAATAATATCTGTTATTTCACCCTTTTATCTCCAGCACCAAAGAATTACAACATTATTTGCAGAACAAAACAATTCTATTTCATAGAGGTAACCTTGGCATCAGTGTAAGTCCAGGCAAAAATGGAGACGGGCTTTGGAAAATGAGAGTTTTCACTGATATTGGACAAATGTCTAGTGTGATTGCCTAGCCCATAAAAGGCATTTTATAAACACTTGTTGAAGAATTGAATGACCTATGTAAGAGAAAGAGGAGAGTCACAGATAATGGATATTTCACAGCCATTATATGGTGGGGTAAAATCCAAAATATTCCTAAGGGTTCTCAAAGGGCCAGTGTAGATGGCAGCAAAGTCATTGCATATTGCCACATGGCTTTAAAAGTGCCAAAGTGATCCATACCAGAGGTTATAAAGTAAACAACAACAGCTATGGCTTCAGGCAAAACAAGGGCTATCAACAAAGAAGCCAGGAAGCTCTTCAAGGACAGCACATAGACCAGTGTTCTAACTTTAGGAATTTTTGGCCACTTTCCATGAAGAACCATTATATTTTTCTTAAACATGTATTTTAGTGAGATAGAGATGAACATTTGGCATGATGAAAAGGAAGTTGAAATTCTGTATCTGACTCTAAGTAGATATGTGACTTTCTGAGTAAAAACCTCTAATGGGATGTTGGGATGATGATGATGATGATGATGAAGGTCTCATTGAGTTGTCAT
Organism: Homo sapiens; assembly: GCF_000001405.40. Lineage (NCBI taxonomy): Eukaryota > Metazoa > Chordata > Mammalia > Primates > Hominidae > Homo > Homo sapiens. The sequence goes on from NC_000005.10 coordinate 22,924,289, forward strand.
GGAAAATAAATGCTTTATATAAAATGACAAATATGTGTTTCATCTTTGTATCTAAAAAATGTTTTATCTTATTGACAACAACATTTTGTCTGTTGTCTTTGTGTCAAATATTCCACAAGATTATTGTGGCATATTGTGGCAAGCTATTCCACAGATTTTGCCAGAAGAGTGTACAATATAATCTTTCTGTCAAAAGTCACCCAGGAGTATATACCACAGCAATAACTCTTCCCTGGTTTCAGTTAGAAATAAAACCAGTCATTAAGCATTAAAACCACTCACGTGGCTTAATTGCTGTACTTATATGATTTCTCATTATGTTTGACTGTCTAGAGACAGTTGCTGATGGAGAAGGAATTCCTCTTTATGTATGTTCATCACCTGCTCTGAAACTAATTTGAAAAAAAAGGCAGATTTTACAACCTGATTCCTATCAAGCATAGTTACAAGATCAAAAAACAAAATCCATTTCTAACCAACTTGCATAATTGAACAGTCACATAATTTTAGGCTAGTCCAAAGAATAGAGGGCAAGATTTCGGTCTACTTACTCAAAGATGTTGCCATAAACATAGTTCACAATTTTCTTAGTCTGCAGCTTTGAAATTGTGCAATTATTTATTGCCTTTCTATTTTGAAAATATTCATGTTATTTTATTATTTGCTCATATATTGAAACTTTGTAGCCTCATACTTCACAAGTTCTAGCTTTTTATAATTCAAATTCCTGTAATATGCTATTGCAGTGTAATTATAAAACTGAACATATATGAATCTCAGTTTTTGTTTCACATTATATGTATCTGCTTTTTGATATCTCAGATATCTCTAAAAAATGTGTCTATTTCATGTTTTGCTAAGAAACATTAAGATTTACATGATCATAATAGTACTTAAAGATATCCAAAAACTCTTGCGGGATGAAAAACTTATATTGAAAATACCCATAGAGGGGCTGTGCATGCATCCTAAGAGAGAGCATTTTTTGATTCATAGGCAATTTAGTGAGTCTACCTGAGCCTTTAGGTTAATATCAAGCTTTTGACAATATTAAAAAAGAAATTCCCTAAGAGAAAATAACACCTATCTCCTCCCCTTCAGGGATCAGAATTGTTGGAGTAGGAATAATTGTCATATAGGACTGTGATTGTTAAAGTAATGATGAACATTTATAGCAGTTATTTTTTAGAACATAAAAAAAAATCTCTGGAGATATTATAATACTTGAGATTTCTCAGAACATTATTCTGTCTCATATCCTGTATTAAATGTATCTGTTAATTTTAATGTTGCTTTTTTTGTTTTTTTAGAAGTCTTGATCAAGTATTTACTTTATTTTATTAAGCTTTCCTTAATTGCCAACTTGCCAATTATACTCACCTCATAACTCAGTTATGAAGATGCATCCATTTAGTGAGAGTAAGGTTATGAAGTCTCAGAAAAATAGTGGACATTGGAAAAACTATAATCCAACAACTGGACAATATAAAATTATTTTATTTATGCAATATGGAGTAATATAAGTTATAGGAGAATAAAGACAACTGTGATAAGAGAAAAAAATGTATTGCATCCTAAATATGTGCTGCACTGGTTCTGTGAACCTGGAAAACGGCTATTTATATTTGAAATAAACCATACATATTCGAAAATTCAGACTATTATATAAATTAACTGAGTTTTTTTTCAAGTATATATTTTAGTGGAGTTAGAATTTTTTATTATAGATTTACCTGACTCTAATTGTCATTCTCTTTCCCATATACAACACTAATTATATCACTAAGAGAAATCACACATGTTCAGGAAACAAAACATCTATCTGGGCTACAATAATGTTAATTAGCTATGTAAGAATGTGGTATGATAAAAATAATAAAGACTTTTCTGGAATCAAAGGATATTTTTCAACACATTTTATTCAAGAGGATGAAAAGATTATTGGTTATATTTATTTAGAAAACATTTTGAGCATAAATATGTGAAAAACACCTATTACTTTCCTCCCAAAACAATTTTTTAGGGAGATGTTCTTAGCAAATTCTTGTGAGTCTTCAAGAAAATCTCAAATTTTTGGATTCTTTTTAAATTTGTATATATTATGTGTTGGGGCAGTAATAAGTGGAATTAACACACTGCTGTTAGAAATCCAGAACATACAACATTTATCAGAATGTTTTATTTAAAGTAAGTTGAAACCACAAACTTTACACAGAAAATTCTATAGAATCAATAGGATTATCTCAAACATTCTGTACAGATTTACCCACATCTTTTTCACTGCAAGGTCGACTTTATAGTCAAGCAAACAATTTTCTTGAACAAACTTTAATCCAAACTGACTAATGCACACAATTACAAAGTAGCAAATCTGACCTAAATGCCAGTGAGTCTAAAATAACTGTGCAGAGTGAGATGTTAACAAACAGTTACTGAAAGAAAAAATCTTGACTGCATAGCCTGTGGTTCCATTGCAATAATGTATACAGACTAGGTCATGAAATTAAAAACTGATAAACTCAGCAATTTTAGAAATGCCTGAAGGATAGCTCATTTTTAGTTGCAGTGGAATGTTAACAACTCTAGCTGGGTTCATTATCCATATCAAATATTTTGGATCATTCTATGAAATCAAAAACATCACATCTAGATAAAATAAAATTTAAATATTACATGATTGTATAAAACTAAAAGTATGCACTTTTCATTTCAAGACTAAAATCGTCATATTTCTTTATAAAAGAATATAGTACTTGCTATATAAAAAAAATTTTTTTTAAACTACTGGAATATCATTGAGTAGCATTTCCAGGCAGCTATTCACTGGTTATCCAATTTACATCAGTGTTTCATAGGATTTTTCTTTTTTGGTTTTTGTTGTTGTTGTTGTTTTTGTTTTTGAGACAAAGTCTCGCTCTGATCCCCGGGCTGGAGTGCAGTGGCATGATCTCAGCTCACTGCAAACTCCGCCTCCCAGATTAAAGTGATTCTCCTGCCCCAGCCTCCTGATTAGCTGGGATACAGTCACCCACCACCAGGCCTGGCTAATTTTTATATTTTTAGTAGAGATAGGATTTCACCACGTTGGCCAGGCTGGTCTTGAACTCCTGGCCTCAGGCAGTCTGCCCTCCTCACCCTCCCAGAGTGCTGGGATTACAGGCATGAACCACCATGCCCAGCCCTTATAGGGTTTTTTATGTGAACTTTCAACAAAACAAAACAAAATCACTTCAATATGTGAATCTTATCATATAAAAAGTCATTTGAAATGAAATATAATCAACAACTAAAAGGAAATGGCATTTATGACATTACTTTATAGAATATAACAAATTTAAAATACAAGTAATGTCTTCCCTTTTGTAACACATTCTCTATACACATTAACAGTAGAAGCATGTGAAAAACCACCTTGAAAAATAAGTAGACATAAAGCCAGAAAATTTCTGAATTATTAACTAATATAGTTATTAAATGCAATATAAAGAGAGTAAGGTGTGAACTGAGAAACATATATGAGAGAAGTTCTAAAAGAATTTAATATATAAAGATTCAGGAAGTATATTTCCATTTTTTATGAGTTTTCAGCACAAAATAAGGAAAACAATTGTAACAGTTATAAGATTGCTGATATTATAATCACTTATATTGATGGGTATGTGGGAAATCTCCTCTTCCATTTTTTTATGAATATCAGACCCTTTGTCATGTGATGTCCACAGTCATAACCTCTCAACACTACAGAAATAATTAAAACCTAGGAGATGGAACAAATGCATTTTTTAAAGCAAAATATTTGTTTTTCTCCTCTTGACCTCCTTCCCTACAATCTTGTTACTAAAACACCAGGGGTTTGTTCTAGGTCCTTCTGTTAACCAAACAGATAGCCAATCACTGAGGTGATAAGTATTGCCAAGGAAGAAGGCTTTAATTGAGTGCTGCAGCCAAGGAGATGGGAGCTAGGTCTCAGGTCCATCACCCTGAACAACTAAAACTAGAGGTTTATACAGCAGATGAGAAATGTAACAATGTAAGAAAACAAGAACTAGGTAGAGGCAAGGGGGCACTGGTGGAGTGATCTGGCGAGTTTTAATTCACTGATACTTTTTTTTTGAGAGGCCTGAAGGTCCTTTCCTGAGGAAGGAACTCAGATAAAACAAACAAAAGGTTCAAGCTTTGACAGCAGAAGGGTCAATTTTTATGTGTATCCAAGAACAACTGTCTTACGAGACTGTTGGTCAGGTTTCAGTCTTTTGATGTCTACATGTACACCTGAGCAGCTTCAGAAAAAAAATAGCTGATTGTTTTTCACAAATTAAATGTGCTAGTAATTCTTACTTCCTTACTCTACAGGTGTCAATTTAATTTTTTTTGTATATTGTAATTTTAAAAATTTACAATTTTTTAAATGAAATACACAAAAACGAGTCTATGCGTGTATTCCAGCAAGCTAGTTTATTATGTCTGGGTGGTGTAAGTGGTGGGAGTAGAAACTCTTGCTCTACAACCTGTTCAAATAATGGGTCCATTTTATTTAAAGCAGCATGTGATAGTAAAAGAAATAATGATTGTGGGATATGACAAGGTTTGTCTTCAAATAGCCTGATCAATTATTTATTCTTTAATCCACAGTACCCCTCCCCTTCCCTTTTCTTCTCTTTTTCTTTCTTTCTGCCTTTGTTACAGGCCTAGGCATGCCACAGCACTGGTGGCTTATCAGTACTAGCTCACATTCCTTTCCTTATTTGGGAAGAAAACTAGCTCTCTAGCTCATGGCAGACAACCTCTTCCCCCTCTACCTTCTCTCCCTTACATGCCCACCTTATCTAAGAAAAAGTTAAAATGTTTAGCCAGTCGGGTCTAGCTTAGATTATACAGTCTGACCCCAGCCAATGGGGAAAGGCACAGGGGCAGATATTTGTGTCAGGGATAAAAACTTTCACTCTCCTTTGTTCTGTGTGCTCTCATGGTGACTGGCCAAAGAGAAGCACCCTGCTGTGCAGAAGCAAATTTGCTTTGCTGAGAAATCCTTTGTCTGAATGCTCATTTTGCTTATGATTCAGAGCTTTAGTTCCAACAATGATGTTTGAGTCTGAGAGACCAGGATTTGAATCCTGGCTCTGCCTCTTTAAACATTAGGACTTGGGCAAATTAATCATTTTAACTTGCATTGCTTACTGCAAAATTAGGATAATAATAGCTACTTCTTAGGTTTTGTCATCCTGAAGAAGTAACAGTTTGGTGCTCAATATTTAATAATGCTAAATTAAATTAAATTTGCCTTAAAGCCACCTCTGTACATATTGAACTGCAACCTAACTTATGTAAACAAACTGCAACCTAACAAGAGTATATTCTTGTAACAAGTAGCTTAAACTCAGTCAATTACAGGAGCCAAACTTCAGCCAATCACAGACTTCCAGCTGATCAGATTATGTCCATGTAAAGCAAATGCTGAGCTGTAACCAATCCATCTGTTTCTGTGTAACATGTCATTTTTTTGTCTGTAAATACTGCCTGATCATATTGCTGGGTGGAGTTATCTGAATCTCCCCTGATTCCGAGGGCTGCTGGATTCATAGGTTGCTTCTGTCTTATGAGAGGATTGTAAAATGCACCAATCAGTACTCTGTAGTGCAAGATCTTAGACTCATCAATGAGGCAGTAATTCCTCTATATCCAGTTGTACCCAACCCCTATACCCTGCTCTCTCAAATATCAGAGGAAGAAGAATGGTGCACTGTTCTGGACCTCAAGGATGCCTTCTTCTCCATTCCCCTGCATTCTGACTCCCAGTTTCTCTTTGCCTTTGAGGATTCCACAGAACATGCATCTCAACTTATGTGGATGGTCTTGCCTCAAGGGTTTGGGATAGCCCTCATGTATTTGGTCAGGCACTGGCCCAAGATCTAGGCCATTTCTCAAGTCCAGGCACTCTGGTCCTTCAGTATGTGGATGATTTACTTTTGGCTACCAGTTCGGAAGCCTCATGCCAGCAGGCTACTCTAGATCTCTGGAAATTTCTAGCTAATCAAGGGTACAAGTCATCTAAATTGAAGGCCCAGTTCTGCCTACAACAAGTCAAATATCTAGGCCTAATCTTAGCCAAAGGAACCAGGGCCCTTAGCAAGGAATGAATACAGCCTCTACTGGCTTATCCTCACCCTAAGACATTAAAACAGTAGCGGGGGTTCCTTGGAATTGCCAGCTTTTGCCGACTATGAATCCCCTGGCCAGGCCCCTCTATACTCTAATCAAGGAGACCCAGAGGGCAAATGCTCATCTGGTATAATGGGAACCAGAGGCAGAAACAGCCTTCAAACCTTAAAGCAGGCCCTAGTATAAGCTCCAGCCTTAAGCCTTCCACAGGACAAAACTCCTTATATATCACAGAGAGAGTGGAAATAGCTCTTGGAGTCTTTACTCACACTTGTGGGACAACCCCACAACCAGTGGCATACCTAAGTAAGGAAATTGATGTAGTAGCAAAAGGCCGGCCTCACTGTTTATGGGTAGTTGTGGCAGTGGCCATCTTAGTATCAGAGGCTATCAAAATAATACAAGGAAAGGATCTCACCGTCTGGACTACTCATGATGTAAATGGCATACTAGGTGCCAAAGGAAATTTATGGCTATCAGACAACTGCTTGCTTAGATACCAGGCACTCTCCTTGAGGGACTGGTGCTTCAAATACGCACGTGTGCCACCTTCAACCCTGCCACCTTTCTCCCAGAGGATGGGGAACCAATCGAGCATGACTTCCAACAAATTGTAGCCCAGACTTATGCCTCCTGAGAGGATCTCTTAGAAGTCCCCTTAGCTAATCCTGACCTTAACCTATATACTGATGGAAGTTCATTTGTGGAGAATGGGATTCGAAGGGCAGGTTATGCCATAGTTAGTGATGTAACAGTACTTGAAAGTAAGCCTCTTCCCCCAAGGACCAGCACCCAGTTAGCAGAACTAGTGGCACTTACCCGAACCTTAGAACTGGGAAAGGGAAAAAGAATAAATGTGTACACAGATAGCAAGTATACTTATCTAATCCTACATGCCCATGCTGCAATATGGAAAGAAAGGGAGTTCCCAACCTCTGGGGGAACCCCCATTAAATATCACAAGGAAATCATGAAGTTATTGCAAGCAGTGGAAAAATGCAAGGAGGTAGCAGTCTTACTTACACTGCTGAAGCCATCAAAAATGTGAAGGAGAAAAGGCAGAAGGAAACTGTTGGGCAGACACTGAGGCTAAAATTGCTGCCAAGCGGAACCTCCCATTTGAAATACCTCTGGAAGGACCCTTGGTATAGAACAACCCTCTCCAAGAGATTTAGCCCCAGTATTACCTGACCAAAACAGAATGGGCATAGTTTTCTCACCTCCAGGTGGTTAACACAGAAGAGGCAAAGGTACTCATACCCGAAACCAGCCAGTGGAAAATACTTAAGATCCTTCACTAAACTTTTCATATGGCCAAATCCCTACTTACAGGGCCAAATCTCCTCCAGACCATCCAACAAGTAGTGAAAGCCTGTGAGGTGTGCCAAAGGAATAATCTCTTGGTCCATTGTAAGGCCCCTCTGGGGGAACAAAGAATAGGTTACTATCCCAGAGAGGACTGGCAGTTGGACTTCACCCATATGCCTAAGTCAAGGGGATTTCAATACTTACTGATTTGTGTTGATACCTTTACAAATTGGATAGAACTCTTTCCCCTGTAAGACAGAGAAGGCTCAGGAAGTGCTTAAAGTCCTAATTTATGAACTAATTCGTAGATTTGGGCTTCCCCAAAGCTTACAAAGTGACAATGGTCTGGATTTTAAAGCCACGATAACTCAGGGAATTTCCAGGGTACTAAAGAAACAATATCACCTTCACTGCGCCTGGAGGCCACAATCTTAAGGGAAGGTTGAGAAGGCAAATGAAACACTCAAGAGGGACTTGAGGAAACTAACACAAGAAACTCATCTCCCACGGCCTAACGTTGAAAATCTGAAATTCTCTTCACAAAATGGGGCTCGGTCCTTAGGAAATGCTGCATGGATGACTTTTTCTTACAAATGACCTATTACTTGATCAGGAAATGGCAAACTTGGTCAAAGATATTACTTCTTTGGCAAAATGTCAACAAAACCTTAAAAACCCACCCGAAGGATGTCACAGAGAAAAGGGAACAGAGTTGTTCCAACTGGGAGATCTAGTGTTGGTCAAGTCCCTTCCCTCTACCTCCTCATCTATGGATTCCTTGTGGGAAGGACTATACTCAGTAATACTCTCTAACCCCACTGAAGTTAAGGTGGCAGGAACGCAATCTTGGATTCACCACACCAGAGTTAAACTTTGGACATCCCCTGAAGAACCTGTGGTACCGTCAGCTCAGGAGTCACAAGATCAGCCAGACCAGCCTCAATACACCTGCGAACCACTGGAGGACTTGGGTCTCCTATTTCAGAAGGAAACATCCCAGACTAAAAAGGCTCCTACTGATCCTGTGGAAAAAACCCTTCCTATTAAAAAAAAAAAGATAAGTGAAAACCTACATAATCTTTAACACCTCTCCTTGCCTCTTTAATGGAATCCTTTTACTGTTTCATCACATTATTAAGCAGTATACTAACCATACTCTTGGCAGTAAGACTATATACTGTAGCTCCTGCTGGGACGAAGATCCTAATCACATCAACCTTTTTCCTATCATCCTTCCTTCTGACAGAAATTTACTCCTACCTTTAATTCAGACTGGATAAAGTGTTCTCATCTTCCAGGGCACCCTCTTTACCTTCCTACTTACTCTTTGGAATTGCCCCTCCCCTTCCACTGGCTCCTAATTACCTCTACAAGACTCTCAACTTAACCCACTCTCTGTTAAGCCAGTCCAATCCTATCCTGGCAAACAACTGTTGGTTTTGTATCTCTCTATCAGCCACTGCTTACGTTGCCACTCCCATTCCCGCAAAAAACTGGATCTTTACTAACTTAACTTACCACCCCCGTTATGAAGGAAAAGACCCTTTCCAACTTCTAAATATGCAATCAGTAGCTGACTTTCCCATCTCTGATAGGACCAAGGATACCCTAACAGGACACGCAATCCAACTTTTATGCTGTTACATTTCCAACCTCGCCTATTACACGAGCAATGAAAAGCCCATACACGGTCCTGTAACTACAAATACCGTCTTAACTTTCCAAGCCCCTTTATGCATCCAACTCAATCTGTTATCAGGCCTGCCCCTGGGGCACCTACTATCCCATCAGTGTAATTACACCCTACAATTTCAATCCCCAACTCATCATAGTAACTTCCGAGTCACCCAAACAGCTCCATTCAGATGGCTTGTCCACTTCTCAGGGCCTCCAAAAACCATCATCTCCTTGCTTAACAAACAGTCCAGGTTTTGTAATGGCAAACATATCCCTGCATGACCATTCACCCCTGGACCCTCTGCATCAGTACCCCCACCAGTAATTAATGCCTTCTCATCCTCTCTTTCAATCACTCAGTTGAATGGCTCCTAGTAGATACAAAATGGTTTTTTCTCCAATGGGAAAATAGAACACAAGGAGCCACTCCGTTTGCTCCCAACACCCCTTTTCAGCTGCTCACCAGCGCTACCTTTGCAAGTACTCTAGGAGTTTGGGAAAATGAAAACAACAAACTTACACACCTTTTTAACATACACAGCAAGTTCTGTCTACCCAGACAAGGCATATTCTTCTTATGTGGAACTTCAACCTATATCTGCCTTCCCACCAACTGTACAGGCACCTGCATCTTAGTCTTCCTAAGTCCCAATATTGACATTGCCCCAGAAAATCAGACCCTATCAGTGACCCTCAAAGCTCAAGTCCATCAGCGCAGGTCCATACAACTAATAACCCTACTTACAGGGTTAGGAATGGGCATTGCTATAGGAACCAGAATAGCCAGTTTATCTATTTCATTATCCTACTACCACACACTCTCAAAGGATTTTTCAGACAGTCTGGAAGAAATAACAAAGTCTAGCCTTACTCTACAATCCCAAATAGACTCTTTGACAGCAGTGACTCTCCAAAACTGCCAAGGCCTAGACCTCCTCACTGCTGAGAAAGGAAGACTCTGCACCTTCTTAGAGGAAGGGTGTTGTTTTTACACTAACCAGTTAGGGATAGTATGAGACACCACCTGGCATTTATAGGACAGGCTTCTGAAATCAGACAATGCCTTTCAAACTCTTATACCAACCTCTGGAGTTGGGTGACATGGCTTCTCCCCTTTCTAGTTCTCGTGACGGCCATCTTGCTATTACTTGCCTTCGGGCCCTGTATTTTTAACCTCCTTGTCAAATTTGTTTCCTCTGGGATTGAGGCCATTAGGCTACAGATGGTCTTACAAATGGAAACCCAAATGAGCTCAACTCACAATTTCTACCAAGGACCCCTGGACTGACCCACTGGCCCTTTGGCCTAGAGAGTTCCCCTCTGGAGGACACTACAACGGCAGGGCCCCTTCTTTGCCCCTATCCAGCAAGAAGTAGCTAGAGCAGTTATCGCCCAATTCCCAACAGCAGTTGGGGTGTTCTGTTTAGAGGGTGGATTGAGAGGTGAAGCCAGCTGGACTTCCTGGGTCGAGTGGGGACTTGGAGAACTTTTCTGTCTTACAAGAGGATTGTAAAATGCACCAATCAGTGCTCTGTAGCTAGCAAGAGGATTGTAAAATGCACCAGTCAGCACTCTGTAAAAACACACCAATCGGCACTCTGTAGCTAGCAAGAGGATTGTAAAACACACCAATCAGCAGGAGTCTAAAAGTAGCCAATCGCAGGGTGGATTGAAAAAAGGGCACTCTGATAGGACAGGAACAGAACATGGGAGAGGACAAATAAGGGAATAAAAGCTGGCCACCCAGACAGCAGTGACAACCCCCTTGGGTCCCCTTCTACAATGTGGAAGCTTTGTTCTTTCACTTTTTACAACAAATCTTGCTGCTACTCACTCACTGGGTCCATGCCACCTTTAAGAACTGTAACACTCATCGTGAAGGTCTACGGCTTCATTCTTGAAGTCAGTGAGACCATGAACCCACCAGCAGGAACAAACTCTGGACACATAAGTAAGAGTTCTGTGAGCCAATCCAGCAAATTAATTAACCCCAAAGAGGGCATCCTGGGTACCCTAACTTGAAGCTGGTGCGTCAGAAATTTCAGAGGTCAGAACTTGCAACTACTGTCTGGGGATGTGGGAGGCAGTCTCGGTGACTGAGCCCCCAGCCTGTGGGATCAGGCACTATCTCCCGGTAAATACTGTGGGAACTGAATTAGAAGACATCCAGCTGGTGTCTGCTGCTTGGTGCCTGAGGAAATGTCCTCACATATTTTGTCCCAGAAGTCCTCTGTGTTGATGATTGTTGTTGTGGTGAGAGTACAGGAAAAGCACAGTTAGAGAGAGTCTTTCCTACACAGATACAGACAAAAATTAATTTTGTACATTGATCTTCTACTCAGTAATCTTCCTATAGTTTGTAGCTTCTATTGGATTTTTTTGTTTACACAATACTTTTATTCACTTCTAATATTTTACTTTTTTATCTTGCCTTATGGTATAGGAGAGCTGTTTCAGGAGAATATTGACTGCTAGTGATAACAAACAGGCACCTTTGTCTTACTTCCAAACTCAAGGAGGTTTGGAAGAAAATTATTTTCTGTAAATTTAAAAAATATATGTATATTCTTTATCAACCTAAGAATGTTCACTTTTTTTCACAGTTTGCTATGTTTTTGTCATTTCCGAGCTAAAAATTTGTTCTCAAATACATTTTTATGTAACCATGGAGATCAGCATATATGTTTCTTTTCTTCTTAATGTGGTAAATTGCCCACTTTGTTTTAATTAGTTCCTTCATTAAAAGTTTTCTTTTGGACTGCTGTTGGGAATTGGGCGATAACTGCTCTAGCTACTTCTTGCTGGATAGGGGCAAAGAAGGGGCCCTGCCGTTGTAGTGTCCTCCAGAGGGGAACTCTCTAGGCCAAAGGGCCAGTGGGTCAGTCCAGGGGTCCTTGGTAGAAATTGTGAGTTGAGCTCATTTGGGTTTCCATTTGTAAGACCATCTGTAGCCTAATGGCCTTGGAGTAGAGAACTCCAAGGACTAACAGAAGCACAGAAAAGAAACCAGAAGAAACTGTGAGAATCAATTGTATTGGAATGCTAGAAAACAATCCAGACTTACAGCAATGAAGCAGTTATTTATTTAACAAAGAGGTGACTGGAAGACAATAGGAAGACTTTGTGGCATTTTAACTTACCTTCGCCCTACTCATATCTTCCTGTTGAGTGGCAACTTAGAAAACCGCAGCCAAGGACCAGGCGTGGTGGCTCACTCCTGTAATCTCAGCACTTTGGGAGGCCGAGGCAGGTGGATCACCTGAGGTCAGGAGTTCGAGACCAGCCTGACCAACATGGTGAAACCCTGTCTCTACTGAGAATACAAAAATTAGCCGGGCATGGTGGTGTGTGCCTGTAATCCCAGCTACTCTGGAGGCTGAGGCAGGAGAATCTCTTGAACCCAGGAGGTGGTGGTTTCAGTGAACCGACATCACGCCACTGCACTCCAGCCTGGGCGACAAGAGCAAGATTCCGTCTCCAGAAAAAATAAAAAAAAAAAAGAAAGAAAGAAAAGAAAAGAAAACCGCAGCCAATGTTTCTGAAGTGGATCCGGGTTCCAGAGGGAGCAGAGCAAAGTTTTTTTCCACAGAGTTTTACCTGGCTGGGGAATCTCTAACGGACTAACACAAAGTGCCTCTTTTTTTTTTTTTTTTTTCTAACTCAACATTCCAACAGGATGTAGAATGGGCAGGCAAAAAACGTTTCTCACAAACATGAAAGGCTAATGAAGTAGTCACTGCCACCTTGTGCAAAGAAGATCATTAGGGCAAACAATGGAAATATGGAAAAGCATGGCCAGAAAAGCTGGAGAGTGAGAGACTTTGGGTGATAAGCCTGTATATGAAAACATTTGTGAAGCCTGTATATGAAAACATATGCCTAGAATTGTGAAGAATGCTAGGCATGTGACAATCAAGCATTTCAGCTCTGTCACCCAGGCTAGAGTGCAGTGGCATGATCTGGGCTCAGTGCAACCTTCGCCTCCCGAGTTCACACCATTCTCCTGCCTCGACCTCCCGAGTAGCTGGGACTACAGACGCCAATAATATTTATCTTATCATTACTTTTTAGTTGTCACTAAAAACGATATAGAATTTTTATTGCACAAAATGTGTGAATAGAGATCTCCCTGTTTTACCTGTGTGCCACTACTTGCCACTGTTCACACTTAGGATGTTCAATAAATGACCATATGAACGCGTAAATTGATAAATGTGAGGACTTTATTACTCTATCACTTTCATTTGTCTAGACCAGTTGGTTTGGCATGGTGGAGACATATCCTGAGTGCTGTTTTAAATCCTGCTTTTTTTCAGGTATAGAGAAAGTAGAATCACACTTCCTAAAGTTTAATCTATTGAACAACTTCACTTTTTCTGTAGAATACAAAGTTTGTGAATTGCTGGGCTAAGCATCATCTCCATTGTCATTATTGTATCAGAACTCTAGAGGACTTGCATAGAATCCCAATAGCGCCAATAATGGATTTCATTTTCATCACTCAGTGGGGCTTTCAGTTGCTCATTTGAATTTATTTCACCCATTTGACTGACAATCACAAATGAACAGAAATGTGGAAACGTTTGGTCTGGTTTTTTTTTTTTAACTTTAAGCATATATTTTATGCCACTATTTCTAATTGGGTATTGACAGCCAGTATCCTAAAATAGTAGCCCTTCCATGCTATTATGAAGGAAACTGATAATACATGAGAAAGCACATGTAAGAAAGCAATATCATGAATTTAAATATATACTATGGAGAAGAATCTATCATTTATAGTAGTTGTTTTAAGGCTTATATGAAAATTGTAGCCATCATAAAACTGTGAATTACAACCTTAATGTAATGTAGTCTTCCTAAATACAAATAGAAAGGGATTGTTAATCCATACCATACCTAGCAAAATAATCATGACAATTTTCTATTTCAAGCCAATAAGCCCTTTCGAATTTTTTAAACATTTGTCATTTTACAAATAAATGTGTGCAAGTAATAATAAAGGGGTAGTAAAGATAATAAAAGCAGCCTCTTTGCATTGCGTGAATGTTCTCACAGAAGTATCATAAAATGTGAAATAATACTATTAGATGTCGCTTTAGCAAAACTGATGTTCCAGATTCTTTTTGCATTATAATGTGTGGTGAAGTTCTTCCTGTTGAATGACTTACTGGATAAGAATGCTATGTTTTCTTTTTTTTTTCCTTAGGAATATATATCGTACTCAATATTTTGTTTTGAAAAAATACACCTAGGATATGATCATATGAAGAGTCATAGTTTGAGATTTACTTTTATGACCAAGTTAATCATTATTATTAGTTAATTATTATTATTAGTTAATCATTATTATTAATTAGTATTAGTCATGAGCTGCACCATCTAATGCTGTAAACACTTGTGATATGTGGCAATTCCAATTTTAAATAAGTAAAAAATTTAGTTTCTAAGTTATACAAACTCAATTTCAAGGGTTCTATAGCCTTAAATAACTGGTAGATCCTGTATTATTAACAGCACAAATATAGACTGTTTCTATCATTACAGAAGGTTCTGTCAAATAGCAATTGCACAGAGTGCTATGGTTTGCTTGAATTCATCTTCTGAGTTACCTAATAATTGTGAAATATCTTCCTCGGTCAATTTTCTTCCCTATGCCATTATAATTGGAAAATAAAAAATTTTTATTCTCAGTTTTGCTTAGAAAAAGCCAAAAGCTGATTGGAATGATGATCAAGTTCTTCCAATCTTTCAAAATATGGTATCTCTGGGCTTTTTGAAAGCTGCTTTTGGAATATGAAATAATTTTGGAGTGCTGACCTAGATTTTGTTTTCTTCTGTTACTACCATATCTTTTGCCTGTAATTTACAATGTAATCATAATGGGATATGTAGTTACTTTTGTTTGACTGTTTTATGGTATTGTAATATTCTCAAGTGTACTTGCTTTTACATATCTAGCACCAGTCTCACTTTGGAAGGTTAACTAAATCTTGGAAGGAAATACATGAAAGGAAACAGGAAAGTAAAAGAAAGATAAGTAAACAAGTAAGAAAGAAAAAAAATTAAGAACTGTATAATTTAGCAGTAGTCTGCAAAAAATATAGAAATTTAGATACTAAGAATCTGACCACTCATTTTGCAAAAGAAGAAAATTTTGTCATAGATGCTAGTAATTTGCTATATGTTCTGTGTTAGTTTTTTTTTTTACTGCTGTAACAAATTACCACAATCTTAATGCTTTAAAACAACCCAAATTTATCTTACAATTCTTTAGTGTCTTATTAATTTTGAAAATTTCTCAGTCATTCATAATTCAAATATTGTCTCTGTTTTTTTCTTTCTTCTTCTGATATCCCCATTACACATCTGTTACATGGTTTGTGATGGGCTCATAGTTCTTGGATATTCTCTCCAATTCTTTTCATTTTTTTATAGCTTGCATTTCAGTTTATAAAGTTTCTATTGATATATCTTCCAGCTCAATAATTCTTTTCTCAGTCATTTTTAGCCCATTGATGAGCCAGTCAAGGCATTCTTCATTTCTGTGATAATAAATGCGTGTGTGTCTGGTACGTGTGTGTCTGTTGTGTGTGTGTGTGCAATTTCTAGCATTTAAAAAATTCTGGCAGAGTGTGGTGGCTCATGCCTGTAATCCCAGTACTTTGGGAGGCCACGGAGGTCAGATCACCTGAGGTCAGGAGTTCGAGACCAGCCTGGCCAACATGACAAAACCCTGTCTCTGCTAAAAACACAAAAATTAGTCGGTCGTGGTGACGCATGCCTGTAGTCCCAGCTACTTGGGAAGTTGAGGCTAGAGAATTGCTTGAACCTGGGAGGGGGAGGTTGCAGTGAGCTGAGATCTTGTCACCACACTCCAGCCAGGGCAATAGAGACATCTCAAAAACAAACGAAAAAAATTATTTTTTAGAGTTCCATCTCTCTGCTTACATTATCCATCAGGTCCTACATGTTGTCCACCTTTTCACAGGAGTTCCCCAGCATGTTAATGATAGTTATTTTAAATTTCTGTTCTAATAATTTCAAAATCTCTACCATATCTGAGTTTGGGTTCTGATGCTTACTTTGTCTCTTCACACAATATATTTGTATTTTTTCTTCTTTTTTCCCTCCTTTTAGCATGTTTTGTAATATTTTATTGAATACACAACAAGGTATGAGGTAAGGTACTGAAGTAAATCATTCTTTAGCGATCTTTAGGTTGAGGCTTCATGTTTATATGCGGAGGGGTTAGGCTGTGTTTAATGTTTGCTGTAGCTGTAAGTGTTATAGGCCAAATTTTTCTCTAGAGTCCTTGATTTTGTCTCCTCAATGTGTTTTATTTATTTTTAATTTAATTTTATTTTATTTTATGAGATGATATCTTGTTCTGTCACCAGGCTGGAATGCAGTGGCACGATCCTGGCTCACTGCAACCTTGGCCTCCTGGGTTCAAGTGATTCTCCTGCCTCAGCCTCCCAAGTAGCTGGGACTACAGGCATGCACCACCACGCCTGGCTAATTTTTGTATTTTTAGTAGAGATGGGGTTTCACCATGTTGGCCAGGCTGACCTTGATCTCCTGACCTCGTAATCTGCCCGCCTCTGCCTCCCAAAGTGCTGGGATTACAGGCATGAGCCACCGCGCCTGGCCTCCCCAACATGTTTTAAATAGGTTCTGTGCCTCGCAATTCTTTTAGTTATAATGCACTCTTATGCAGCAGCCTGAGTGATACGGGCAGGTGCTGGAAAGCCTATCGTTAGGTCTGAGTCTGCTAGTGAGCTTTTTGCTCCTGGGCTGTGACTTTCCGAAGTGCTTCTCAGATTTTTTTCTCCCCTAAGGTGAAACAGAAAGGCTAGAGGGATTGGAAGTGGATATCTTTCTTCCCCAAATTGGATAGGCTCTGATTATATATATATATATATATATACATACATACAGAGAGAGAGACAGAGAGAGAGAGAGAGAAACTCAGCCCCTGGAGTTTCTAACCTCAAGCTAGCTGACATTGAGCTTCTATCAGTTCAGGATTTACAAAGAAAGTGTTTCTACTAATCTTGGCTCTAGCAATGAGCTTCTGCCTCTGGCTCTGGTCCTGGTAAATTGTAATTCTTGTTACTCACCTCTTTCTCTAGTTTTCAGGAAAGTGCTTCATCTTTGATCTCAATTTCTTAATAGACATAAGAAGAGTTGTTGATAATCAGTTACTTCAGATGTTTCCTTGTTCTGAGGAGGAAGTGACAACTTCCAAACTGTTTATATGTCAGACCAGAAAGTGTAATTTCAGGCTCCTTTTCTTTTTCAAAGCTAGCAATGGCTGGTTGACTCTTTCTCTGGGGATTGGGTTATAAACATCTTGCAGGAAGCAATTATTCTTCCTCTGTATTCAGAAGTTAAAGAAGTGGGATTATAAGGTAGCTTTCCTTCATAATGGACTTTCTCTTTAAGCACTTTTAAAACTCATTAAAACATCTCTGTCTGTCTCCGTGTCTCAAAAACATCAACTTTGCGATTTGTTTCCTAATTTGGGTAACATTTTCTTTTCCGTATGATGCTGTTTCTACTAAAACTATACAAATGTGATTTTAATTTGTAATTTAGTCCCTCTAAGATGATTCTTGATGAAAACTGGCCTAAAATTATACTTAGAAATTAGCATCAAAATTCGTATTCTCCATACTTACAAAAATCTAGGCTTAATATCTTAAAATTGACTTAGCCCCAAAGTCACCTCTCTGTGTGAATTTCAAATTAACCTTATATGATATTGGAGATCTACAAACTATTATAAACAGTCCAGAGATGAGTACATAATTGAAATAAACAATAAGCATTATAAAACATAAAAAACATAAGTTCAGCACTTCCACACTTCCAGTTATATAAACTAAATAAAAGTACTTTGTTCTATTAAATACTACTGGATGTAGCATCAACATTTCAACTAGTCTCAGTTAGTGTCAGTGATTCTTACAAAGAAGCAAAATCTCAATAAACAATCCAATATTATTAATAAAAAGGAAGATAATATGCAATGCAAATTCTTTCAAAATAACATCAATGTAGTCTGGAATTACAGCATGATGAATATGCTTTTTTATTTTATTATTATTATACTTTAAGTTTTAGTGTACATGTGCACAACGTGCAGGTTAGTTACATATGTATACATGTGCCATGCTAGTGTGCTGCACCCATTAACTCATCATTTAGCATTAGGTATATCTCCTAGAGCTATCCCTCCCCCCTCCCCCCACCCCACAACAGTCCCCAGAGTGTGATGTTCCCCTTCCTGTGTCCATGTGTTCTCATTGTTCAATTCGCACCTATGAGTGAGAATATGTGGTGTTTGGTTTTTTGTTCTTGGGATAGTTTACTGAGAATGATGATTTTCAATTTCATCCATGTCCCTACAAAGGACATGAACTCATCATTTTTTATGGCTGCATAGTATTCCATCTTGTATATGTGCCACATTTTCTTAATCCAGTCTATCATTGTTGGACATTTGGGTTGGTTCCAAGTCTTTGCTATTGTGGATAGTGCCACAATAAACATAGGTGTGCATGTGTCTTTATAGCAGCATGATTTATAGTCCTTTGGGTATATACCCAGTAATGGGATGGCTGGGTCAAATGGTATTTCTAGTTCTAGATCCCTGAGGAATCGCTACACTGACTTCCACAATGGTTGAACTAGTTTACAGTCCCACCAACAGTGTAAAAGTGTTCCTATTCCTCCACATCCTCTCCAGCACTTGTTGTTTCCTGACTTTTTAATGATTGCCATTCTAACTGGTGTGAGATGGTTATCTCATTGTGAATACACATATTTTTAATTTGTAGTGTTTAATTGGCCTACTTTGCTAATAATGTTGAAAATTTTTAAGTTTCAGACATGAGGCCCAATTCAGGGTCAATTGTCTAGATGTTTTTGAAACTCATGCAGTGTAAACTTGTATTCAAATACATTTTAGTCCTCAAAATGTTCATTACACAAAATCATCATCTTGACTGGCATTAATTAGAATCTTTGTCTGGAAGTCTCTGCAGAAAGGCTGAGAATTGAATGTACTAACAATGCCACTAAATTAATTGCCTACAGTGATGGACGTGTAGGGCCAAATATTCAAAAGGCATCTAGTACTTGATCTATGATGGCCAATTTGAACTATTAGTTTCAAATAATGTCTACATTGTCAATCTTGTTTCCACAGGACAAAAGGATGTCAGTGGAATGTTTTCAGAGGTAAGAAGGTTGAAGAAAACTATTTCCAACAATGGCTAAGCTGTATGGTACCATCCACACAGATCAAGAGACTACCTCCAGTTGTTCCAGTGTGCTAATTTGATTTTTTAGCATAATTATATGTTTGAGTAGAGTAGACTTACAGACAGGTTATAAATGCATTGTTTTGAAGAACACATTTAATTGTATAGTCTGTATTTTATTAAGAAGCCATCAAAAGAAGGAAAAGTATGAAGATGTTCTATGCTATTTTATAATTGTTCTTATAAAACAAAATTTAAATATAATTAATAATTCTAGAAAATTCTATGTATTTTGAGCTAATATAATTATATTCACACAGTAGTAAGAGCAGATAATATCTACCTCTAAATGTTATAATAATGTGATAAAACATTTTCTTTTGAGACAAATATCAGATATGCAAAATGGAAGACAATAAGGAGTAATTATTATATTTTCAGAAGCTAAACAATTATTTTAAATGTTCTAGACCAAGAATATACTCTCAGGAATCATTTCTATAGTTCATTAAATATTCTAGACCTACGATGAAATATATAATATTATTAATGACTTATAATCTTAAAATAAAAATGATGGGATTAATGGGCTTGTTAATGTGTAATGTAAACATTGGTATCAAGTTTTGAAATTGTATTTCCCTGGCAGATATGGGACACATGATATCAAAATACTAAAGAATTCCTGTAAATGCTTTATCTAAGTGATATTAAATATTTTATAGCCAGTAAGCAGCCTAATGTGAAGAAAATAGTTTGGCATGAAGACTTGATATAAACCTAAATAATTCTTTGTTATCGGCTTTATTATCTCTAAATATCTCCTAATTCTTTGTCAAAAATTATTGTTTGTTGTGAAGATCAAATGAGAACACATTAAGAAAAGGTTGAAAACTGGCAACAATATAGCTTTTGAAGCCCTTTACAGTCTGACCTCATCCTATTTCTGGAGCTATGTCTACCATTCTACTCCTGGTAATTTATGATAGATTGTGCTATTAAGGGTTGTCAGATAAAATACACGTAACCCAGTTAAATTTGAATTTTATGTAAACAAAGCATACTTCTTTTACTATGAGTGTGTCTCACATATTACAGTGAGCATGATTATAGTAAAAATATTAAGTAGGGTCAAGTAGAGCCGAGTAGAGCATTATTAGAGTATTAGTCCCAAGCAATATTTGGGGCATAGTTATACTAAAATAAAAATAATTGTTTAGGTAAAATTAAAATTTTACTGGACAACTTAAACTTGTATTTACGAAATCTGGCGACCCTAGCCATTGCCAAATTGATTAACCTTAGAACTATGTTTACCAGAATCCCTTTGACTGTATGTAGATTTGGCCAAAATGGACTTTGAACATGACTTCCATGATGGAAGTGAAGTAGCCACTTTTATTCTATAGGACTTTGAAGTCAGATAGGGTGATGGAAAGAAAGGTACTTGTTGGGATTTAGCTTAATCTCACTGTCCTTGATGCAGCCTCTAGTTTCTGTCTTGATTGCTGAGGTTTAATTGTGGCAAGAGACCTCTCCAGGAGCTGGCAGGGACATGCTTAGATTCTCAGCTTTTCCCACAAAAACTCTAATTTGTCCATCTGTGTGATGCTTCTTAAGGACTTGTTAGTCTATTTTTCTCTGTGTCTGCTTATCCCAATAATCTTCACTTCTCAACTCCTCCCACATTTATATAAGACTTGATTTCTGTAATATCCATGACATTGAAAATACTCACTATCACAATTTAAGTAACTCTGATTGAATTAAGATAAATATGGATAATAGAAGTATCAATAATTTGATTGGACTAGTTTCATTAAAGGTAAATTGGCAAAATTTTGCAAGTAGCTTGATATATGTACTGCTTCCTTCTGGGCCACATCTTGTAACTAGTAAGTCATTTAAGATTTAAGTCTGCCTATAGGTCTGGAAGCTCAGCATATCTCTGTTAGAAATTTGCTCATTACTTTTTCAAAAGTTAATATTTCGTCAAATTCTCCAGCAAGTTGTCAAACCCACCACCTATGGACATATAGGTTGCTTTATTTAGCACCCTGATATTGCATACAGAATTGGTACAGATTAAATAATTTAGTTTATAGTAAGGGAAGAACATACATGGGCTTACGGTAATGGAATTTCCTATTCTTAACCTCTGGTCTTAACAACCTGGTTACATATATTTCATTACAACTACTGTAAGTGGTCTGAAGAAGCAGTGAAATACACTAGCTGATACTTTGTGAGGTTCAGATAATGTCCTCCAGGATATAACAATGCTTTGAATCAGTGATCAGTATATAATGCTGTTTTTTCCATAGCCCACATTCATGCATATAAGAGTCAAGAGCTGAGGGGGTATAGTAGTGAATATCTTACTATTACCCCTAGCAATCTCTCAAGAAATTGTTTGCTTCCTATCTTGCAATGTTGACTCTTTTGTTTTAGAAACAATATTTCTCAGTGAGGGAAGGATTTCTCCAAGGTACATAAAAATGTTAATGAAAAACTAAAGTTTCCATTAAACTGATAGTTGAGGCTACCACCTGGCCATATCGTGATGTTTGTGACAGTTATCTATCAGGAAAAGAAGGAGGTTAACATAGTGGTTGCAGTGATTCATTCTGAATCTACAGAGGAACTTGGGTTCCTGCTTTACAATAGAAGTGGAGAGAACATCTGGAATTCAGGAGGTCTGCTAGGGCCTCTCTTAGAAATATTTTTTCCTAAAATAAATGCCAAAAGAAAACATTAACATCTCAGTATAGGCATGACTACTAATTACTCAGATGCTGTAGAAATGAGGATTTGGGTCACTCTACTAGCAAGGAACCATGCCAAGCTAACATAATTTCTGAGGTCAAAGAGAATATGGAATTGGAAATAGAAGACAGTTATAAATACCACTTATAGCCACATGACCAGTTGTACATTTGCATATGTTACCAATTAGGAATATTTATTCTTTGCTTTAACATGAATATACTTGTATATTCACTAACAGATGATTTTTCTTTCCCACTTTCATTCTCCTAGTAGCTAACATAAGATGTGATCATCATAGTCAACCGTATATCCCAGTAGTTAATTTATAGGATATAAGAAGGGTAGCGATTGCTAGAAAAGAAATAAATCTTACCAAAGTATATACGTATTTTTGTGTCTTTTTTATAATGAGGGTTAGTGAATTTTCAGTTGTATGAGTCATGGTTGCCTCGTGTTGTGTGGAAGCAGATGACTGCTATTTTCTGAATTTGGAAATGAATATATTTCAATAGATATTATGAATGCCAAAATGTGCTATTGTGTTAAGCTGGGTATTATGTTATTCAAAATTGATTTCCTATATGGCATTGGGATAATGTTGGCTGATAGAGAAACTTGTTATTTCCACTGCAGGGATTGGATGCACTTAGTTCCTCAGGATTCCCTGCAGACCCAAACTGCTCCCTCTGCTTCAGGGTTTCAGAGGATTTGTTAGTCATGCTTACTCTGTACTGTCAACCCATCCTTCCAAACCTTCGCTTCACCAGCTTCTCAACAAACAATATAAGCTGTAACTCCTCTAAAAGCCATTTTTCCATATAGCAGACAGATTCCAGGTTGACCCTCAATAATCTGCTTCCTGATCTTTAGGCCTTTGTGCAGTTGCCCCTCCTTGGGTGTGGGTGGAAACTGTGCACTGCTTTTAACCAGTAGAGTACAGAAAATTTGATGTGATATTACTCCCTTGATTATGTTACATTCTATAGAACTCTCTCTCTTAGCAGACTGTAGAGATATCTACTCCTGCTGATCTCTAAGAAGTAATTTTTCGGTCCGAAAGTAATTGAGGTAGGAGGTGGGACTCGACTCCAGAGATGAGGATTGGACACAGGACCAAATTGAAGACTTCCTAGAACAGGGCCAGGGCAGAGTCAGCTTTTCATCAGATACACACGCTAGTGTGCCATTTTGGTTTACTATTGCCATGACAACACCCAGAGTTACCACCCCTTTCTGTGGCAATGACCTGATGGCCCAAAAGTTACTACCCCTTCCCTAGAAATTTCTGCAAACACCACCCCTTAATCTGCATGTGATTAAAAGTATGTATAAACATGACTGCAAAACTGTCCTGAGCTACTACTCTCTGTCTACAGTACAGGGTAGGCCTGCTCTGCAGGAAAAGTCATGGAACTGTAACACTGCAGGAGTTGTAACACTGCATCTTCAATAAAACTGTTTTCTTCTACCTGTGGCTTGCCCTTGAATTCTTTCCTGGACAAAGCCAAGAACCCTAATGGGCTAAGCCCCATTTTGGGGCTCACCTGCCCTGCATCATTATGACATGAAATGTCCAAGGAGAATCCAACTTGGCAACAAATTGTGTGCAGCCTCTAGGAGCTGAGAGTCTCATTCTTACAGCTGCAAGGGACTGAATTTTGCCAACAACCACATGAGCCTGGAAGGAAATGCAAGTTCTGGAAAGGAACACAGCCTCGCTAACATGTTCACTACAGCTTTGTGAGACTCTGAGCACAGAAAGAAGCTAAACCAATATCTTGACTCTGGTCTCACAGAAACTGTGAAATAATGAATCTATTGTTATAAGTTGATAATCCTGTGTTAATTTATTATACAGTGGGAGAAAACCAGTATAGCCCATAATACTCAGAGTGGTATTGCTAACCTGACTGAAACCTAATTGATTCACACTTTATAGTGGATAATACTGCTGGGATTTTACACTTATTTTAAGTAATTGTTTTTCCCATGAAGCTGGAAATTTCACAAAGGAGTTACTTGTTTATATTTCCATTATCAGTATACACAGATATACAAAGCACCTAATAAATAGTTGTTGAATGGAAGTGATTGAGTCATCAAATAAATAAATTATTGAGCAAATTATGAATCCATGTCAGATTTTGTCTGGAAAATGAGAATGAGTCACAGTAGCTAAAATTTTCCTCAATTTATGTCAGGACAGTGAATTGCTAATATTCCAAATTACTAACATAAAGTTGGTTTAGTATGTTTAAAAAATTTATTTTAATTCTTCTATTGTAAGATTCTTGATGTGCACTGTTTGATGTCAGAATCCCCTGAGGTTCTCCTTAAGAAATGCAAACTTATAGACACCAATTCAGATATCACGGATCAGAATTTCTTAGTGTGGAACCTCAGAATATCCATATTAAACAGATTCCCCAAGTAAAACTCACTTGTACAAATATTTAACAACTCTTTCTGGAGAAGCAGGACTTTCTTTTTATGAAAGAAAAAAATCTTTGTTTTGCACAGAAAGTAGGTGCTTCACTGTACAAATTGGAAAATCCAAATAATCTATACCTATAACTGGGTGATAAGAATGAGTTAATATGCTATTGTTAAAAGTTAGAAGACAATTTTACTGAAGAAATGAAAGCGTCAGAGTAAGGGATATAGGCCAATGATGGAAAGGATCATCTAAAATATCATCTGGAAATGCAATTTTAGAATTTTATTTTGTGTGTAATGTGTTAAAAATAATACTCTTAATTCACTTGCTTTGTGGAATGTTGAAAAGATTTTTTTTAACTTGTAAACATGGTGTCAGATTGTAAGTGTTTTTCCATAATTTTAAAAGAAATCTTGATTCTATTTCTTTTAATTACATCTCTGGTTTATAAAAATAATTTTAATATTTTTTTCTTGGTCGTTGTTCAAAGGATGGTATTTTGCTAGTATAATTGTATATTAGATGATCTTTAATATCTATTCATCAAAAAACCCATAATACTCATTAACTAAAAGATAAGTAATCAAGAAATCCCTTAACATGCATTATTATGTTAAAACTGCTAATATATTTTTACAAAAAAATATTCTGATGAACTTTTAATGGGAAATATATTTACATTGTACTTACTAGTGAAAAACAGTTAAAAAGTTAAGAATGCTTGAGAAAGCTATATGAGGACAAATGGTTTAAAATTGTTGCTATAGCAATTGATGAGATTAATAAAATAGCAATGAATTTAGTTCAATGCTAAAATAAACACCAGACACTAATGTGCCTTTAAAGACTAAATAACTTAATTAAAGTAATGATATCATTCCTTTCTAGCTCATCTATCCACTATTTTCCCCTATACTTGCATATAGGAAACAAAGCTCAGAACATCTTATTTATTTATTTATTTAGTTAGTTAGTTAGTTAGTTAGTTATTTTTGAGACAGTCTTGCTCTGTCGCCCAGGCTGGAGTGCGGTGGCACAATCTTTGCTCACTGAAGCCTCCACCTCCCAGGTTCAAGCGATTCGTCTGCCTCAGCCTTCTGAGCAGCTGGGATTGCAGGCACCCACCACCACACCAGGCAAATTTTTGTATTTTTAGTACAGACAGGGTTTCACCATGTTGGACAGCCTGGTATCAAACTCCTGACCTCAGGTGACCTGCCTTCCTCCGCCTCCTAAAGTGCTAGGATTACAGGCGTGAGCCACCGCACCCAGCCAGAATATCTTAACATATCAATATGACTTGGTTGCCAAAGTTATAATAAAAAGCATGATAATTGCATTTGTTGGAGTATGTGTCAATTAACTTTAAAAAAAATCAACTTCTTGAAAGTATTTACAGAAGTATTGGTTTATTACCTTTCCTCCACTAGACTTTTCTGATATGAGAACAAAGACTCAAATCAAATTTTAAAATTCGGAAGTTTAATGCACACTAAGAATATACAGGACTCTTAAAAAAAGCCTGTACACCCAACCAAATGATGTGGTTTAAATATGAAAATATCTTTTTGTTAATATATTACCAAAATGCAGTTGTTCTTTGGACAGCTTTTAAAGACTTATATAAACAAAATATCTGAATCAAATGACATTTTAGGAGCATGACAAAGGAGGATTTAGACAGTGATCAATAATACGGATGTGTTAATGGCAATCATTTTATTCCAAAACCGATCTTTCAAAAGTATATATTAATAAATATATGTCCTGTTAATAATGTTATAAATATTTCTGCTGATAACACCCTCTGGAACAAAGAATTTTTATTTATTTCTAAGTATTTTAAATTGGGTACAATCAACCATCCGGAGAAGTGGGAACAAAAATTTCTATGACATAGCATATATGAATGGGGACTGAATTTATTTTATTTTTCAAAATATAATATATATTTATTTAACATATTATTTTTAACATGTCAATAAGTTTGGATTTTTTTTTTTTTTTTTTTGAGACAGTGTCTCGCTCTGTCACCTAGGCTGGAGCGCGGTGGCGCGATCTCGGCTCACTGCGAGCTCCGCCTCCCGGGTTCACGCTATTCTCCTGCCTCAGCCTCCCCAGTAGCTGGGACTACAGGCGCCCGCCACCACGCCCAGCTAATTTTTTGTATTTTTAGCAGAGATGGGGTTTCACCATGTTAGCCAGGATGGTCTCGATCTCCTGACCTCGTGATCCGCCCGCCTCAGCCTCCCAAAGTGCTGGGAAGTTTGGATATTTTTAAAAGTTGTTAAGAAAATAATGACAATATTACACTGCAGTACTGACAAATCTAAGGTACACAGTGAAGCATTATAAAAAGTGCACTAGCCAAAAAATTGGAAACCACACCTCCTAGACATTCTCAGCAACTTACTAGAGTGACCTTGGATACTTCAAATATGAAATGAGTTTAATATCAAAATTAAATATGATAATGATATGTTGGTTTTTAAACTACTGAATATCATTAATAAATATTAAATTCTCAATATTATTATTTGTAAAGAATATCTTTTAATTATATGGTCATTAATTCACAAAACACTTCTGTATAATAAGTTAACATTTGTGACCATATAAATCATTTATATGTTGAAAGTGACTTAATTCTATTACATAATCATAAACATAATTTATTAGGGAATTAAATTTAGCCCATACATATAAATTTAACTTTGTACATATGTGATGGAAAGATATTCACACACATGACATTACATTTATCTATTGAGGCCAATTATTTTATTAATTTTCTTCCATTTTCAGTTACAGTATACTGGACTCATGGAGTTTTAGAATAGGAATGACTTAATTTACCATATCTAATGTCCAGCAGATGTGGATTTGCATGAAGCTAATGAAGCTTAGCTTTGAGGTTTTATTATTAAAATTGTCTTCTTTTCTTTGAGTCCTTGATATTTCATAAGTTTTACCCTCAGATATACATACTCATTCTTAGCTACCAATGAAAGCCTCTTTTTCCTTTTCATTCCAATGTGTGTGTGTATGTGTGTAAACATATATATGTGTTTATGTATATGGACGTATGTATGTATACATGTATAAATGTATGTATATGTATGTATATGTGTTTCTGTATACACACACAAATCAGTATTTTTTTAATATTCAGATATATATGCACATATATACATATATATATCCCCCCCAAGGAAATAATTTTAATTGGCCTAGTTTGAATAGTTCGCCTATCCCAAAATTAGGGAGCAGGTCAAATTGCTTTGAAGTTTCATTATAAGTAAAGTCTTGGAATGAGGAAACAGAAATTTGTGAAGAACAGTGTGCTATTCCAAAAATGGTTCGACAGACCAAACAACACACACATATTTGGAAAATGGGGCATGAGTTGGTAATAGGCAAAATATAAGTCTAGGAAGGAAGCGGGGTCCAAATCATAGGAGTCTTTACATGCTTAAAGACTTTGGATTGGATTTTATGAAATTCAACAGCCGAATTGTGTGAATTCTTAACAGATTTTATCAACTGAGGCAACATAGATAGAGTTTAAGGAGAGAAATAAGCCTTGTTTTCTTGGAAAATTGGATATATAATGTGATTTTTATAGACAATGGAATAAAGACAGATGTAAAGGATAAGGTGACAATAAGTTCTAATTTTAACCATTTAATTTGCATACAGAAATAATTTATTGCTTTGAAGACATATTTTACTAAAATTAAATCACTGGTAAGCTATTTCAGATTATAGAAAATATTTGTGAGAGTCCAATTTCCTATTACTTACAAGACTGTTTTAGAGATTTTTATTTTGTAAAAAGAGTTCAGAACAGACAATGTAATTATTTTATTCTTGCTTCAAAAACTAATTTCATCTCATAAGAATACAAATGCTACAAATATAAATGAAGAAAAAATTTTAATGATGCTGTCAAAGGAAAACAGTTTTCTGATATTAATTAAGCAATTTGACAAAATTAAAAATATGAGTGTGAAATATTGATCTTTAAGACAATGTAATATTGTTATTAAAAATTATAATTCTGACTTTAAATTTTAACATGATGAATATTTGTGAAATAGAGGCATAGTTGTTTTCTCTACAAGTATTAACCTGTTAATTTTTTTTTAATGGCTGAAGAAATTCTTGTTTATTCTTGTTTTTTCCTGTTTTTCTTGCTTTAAGTAAATCATCCTGAATGCTTGTGTGTATGTGTGTGTTTGTGTTTGTAGGATACTTGTATTTATATTTTTTGCCATTAAAAAAGTATTTCTTTTGAAACAGTAAATACTAATATTTATTTTAATAATTTTAGTCATTTTAATCTTTCTAAAAACCTGAAAAATGTATTCCTAACTTTCAGAGCACACTAAACTTCATATATTTTGCTTGTAGCTCATGTACTTTTTTATTTTACACGTAAATATTTTTCTACTTTTATGAGCCAGAATTTATAGATAATTGAGGACAGCAGTGAACAAAATAGATAAAAGACATTTTTGCTTTATCATGCAATTATTTGAGTACACTTTGTCTTCTTTCAGCATATCAATTATATTTTAATGTTTAAATTTTTGTCATGCAGCTTTTAATATATATCATCTTATTTTTTACATTGGCAAATAAAATTCGATGTGTTTACAATGGAAAATATGATGTTTTGAAGTATATATACACTGTGGGATGATTGAATCTAGCTAATTAACATCTTAATTACCTCACATCGTTATCATTTTTGTGTTGAGAACACTTTACATACGCTCTCTTGGCATTTTTAAGAATACAATATGTTATTAACCATAGTCACTATATTGTACACTAGATCTCTTCAACTTATTCCTCCTGTCTAATTGAAATTGTGTATTCTTTGATCAACATCTTCCCAACCTTCTCACCCCAATTGCCCGAGGCCCTGGTATACCATTCTACTCTGCTTCTATGATACCAACATTTTGAGATTCAGCATGTGATCAAGATTATAAAGTAGTTTTCTTTCAATGCCTGGCTGATTTAACTTAGCATAATGTCCTTCGGGTTTATCTATGTTGTTTCAAATAGTAATTTTTTTTCTTTTTATGGCTGAATAGGATTCCATTGGATTTATATATCACATTTTCTTTATCCATTTACTCATTGATGGACATTTAGGTTGATCCCATGTCTTGGCTATTGTGAATAATGTTGAAGTAAACATGGGAATTGGCATATCTCTTCAACATACTAATTTTTAAAATATATACACAGTAGTGGGATTTCTGTATCATGTGATAATTATATTTATAATTTTCTGAGAAACTGCCATACTTTTGTCCATGGCTATACTAATTTACTATCCCACCAACAGTGTTCAAGATTTCTCTTTTCTCTGCATCTTTGTCAAAATTGTTATTTTTTCTCTTTTTGATAATAGTCATTCTAACAGGTGAGCCGAGATTTCCACCACTGCACTCCAGCCTGGGGGAGAGCGCGAAACTCCCTCAAAAAAAAAAAAATAAAATAAAATAAAAAAGTTAATTAAAGCTGTTTTAAATTCTCTTTCTGATAATTTCAAAATTGTGTCACATCTGAATCTAGTTCTGATGATTGATTTGTCTTTTCAAACTGTTTTTTGTTTGGTTTGGTTTGGATTTTGGTTTACTTTGTAGTTCTTTTGTTGTTTACCCTGCAACCTCAGCTCTATGATAAGTCTAAAAAATGTCATTGGTTTTCAGTTTGTTTAGATTTTTCTTGTTGAAAGGATGGGAATGACAGCATCCATACTCTCTGTATGTCAGAGTTGTATCTGGATGATCATGTAATGACTTAAATATATACATAATTAATAAATTAATAAACATATACAGTGTAAGTAGTTCTTTTTAGCTTTTATTATAGAAAATATCCAGGTGTGTTTTTTCCGTATAGCACAGCTCTTAAAAGAATTTTACTTTTATTTGTTGACATTTTCAGCAAACTTTCTTATAAATTATAATGTAGATACATAAAATTGCAAATATTGTCAATGTATAGTTAAATTTTCACAAACTAAACACTCCTGTATAACCAGCACTAATATCATGTGAGAGAACCTTTGTAGTGATCTGAAGATGTTCTTGTCCCCTTCCTGTAACTTTATCATCCAGCCATGGTAACAAGAAAGAACCTTGTCACCATATGCAGAGATTATTTTGCTGTTTTGTTAGTTATATAACTATTTTGCTATTTAGTGTATTGCTTCTTGAAAATTAACATGTATGTGTTTAAACATCATTTGCATTGTATATTTGAAGTTTGTTCAATATTATTGTTGCTTAGTATTTAAATGTAAAAGTATAACTCAATTTATTTAATGTTCTACTTTTCACAATTAACATTGGGTTGTTTCCAGATTTTTTAAGCAAAGAGTGCTACTATGTACATTCTTATGTGTGACTTTTCATGAATATATAATTATTTAGAAGCATTGCTGATTGATGTAAAACAATGTGTAGAATCAATGAGACAAGAATATACAAAGTAGGTCTTTCTAAAGAGTTTTTCTGAGTTTTTAAGAGTGATTCTCAACTGCTTGTTTAAAATCTTTATTTGTCATATAACTGATAAAACAAGTGGTAAACTTATGAGACACCAAGAAATTTAGTGCATAAGATTTTTGAAATATGGGTTTATAAACAACCTTGCCCTAAGGATATATTATACATAGAGCTATTATTCAGCCAGGACAATTAGCAACATGTTAAAATATGTGTTTATATATTTATTTAACATTTGCTATTTCAATTTTTTCTAACATGGTGAAGTACATATGACATAAAATTTACTATTTTAGGCTTTAGAAGTGCACGATTCAGTAACATTAAGTAGCTTATCACTGAATAATATTCCATTGTCTCGATGTACTATAGCTAATTTATTCACCTACTGACATACATCTTGGTTGCTTCCATTCTGACAATTATAAACAAAGGTAATATAAACATCCACATGAAGGTTTGTGTCTAGACATAAGTTTTCAACTTTTTTTGGTAAATTCCAGGGATCACAATTACTGGATTATGTAGTAAATCATGTTTAGTTTTGAAACTACCAAACTCTCCTCCAAGGTAGCTTTTTCATTTTGCTCTTTTGTCAACAATGAATGAGCATTTGTGTTAGACCACATCTTCTCTAATATTTGGTGTTGTCAGTGTTATGGAATTGGCCATTCTAATATGTGTGTAGTGGTATCTCAATGTTGTTTTAATTTGCATTTCCCTGATGACATATAATTTGGGGCATCTTTTCATATACTTATTTGCATGTATTCATCTTCTTTGGTGGGTTGTCTCCTAAGATCTTGAAAGAAAAGAACAAAGTTGGAGGACTAACACTATCCAACTTCAAGGCGTAATATAATATAAAGCTGCAGTATTCAAGACAAAGTGATAATGGTGAAAAAAATAGATGAATAGATCAAGGGAACAGAATGCAAAGCCCAGTTGACATGTATATGGTCAACTGATCTTTGAAACTGGAGCAAAGGCAATACAATGGAGGAGGAATAGTGTTTTCAACAAATGATGCTGGAACAAGTGAACCTTGCTCAAAGATAGTGGGTCCAGATACAGACCTTACACTCATCACAAAATTTAATATATCTGGGATCACAGATCTAAATGGAAAACACAGAACTATAAAACTCCTAGAGGCTAATGTAAGAAAAGGTCTGGTGACCTTGGGTCAACAATAAGAGAACAAACAACTTAGATTAAAAAGTAATTCACTTTTTTACATTTTTTCAATTATTGACATTTATACCAACTTTTGTTCAGGTTTATACTGAAATCATGTATTTCATATATATAGTGTGTTTCTAGAGTTTCTTTTACTTTCTTTTGTTTTACTTGTTAATGTAAAAGAACTTGTTTTTATCTTCTGGATATCTTCATATCAATTCCTACTATTGCTAATCATTCTACTATAAACAACTGTTATTAGGAAACTGTTAACAGTAATGTATTGCAATATTGATTCGGTACAACACACAACTATAAGATTTCAGTGGTGTTCAACACATTCAATTATTCCTTATTAATATAAGGTGTCCAGCTGGGCTTATTTTTATGATGGGTTCACTAGTTATATTCTGGGGTGACTGTGGTGACTAGTTTCAGTGCCACTTATCTCTCACCAACCAGAAGACAATCCCAGGGATGCTTTATGACAATAGGTATAAATGAGAGAGCAAGCCCTGACATGCAAGTATTTTTTTTTCAAATCTCTGCTTATGTTGCATGTACCCACATCTCATTGGCTAAGACAGTTTTCCTGGCTGAATCAAGCTGTGAGGAAGGCGGCTTTCCCATGGACGAAGGGAGCAGCAGCACTACATTGTAAATAAAATAATGCAGGAAAGGATAAAGAATGAATTAATTGCAATCTATAACACAATCCACTCCATTCTTCTCAATAGCAGTGACTTTAGAGTCCACCAATATCTCATATAAAGTGGACCCATTAGTTTCTACATGTCCTATCATGAATAAAGTTGTAAACCTCAGTATGGTCTGCATTCTGTCTCTATAGAGTATGTTTGATTGATAAGTTGAATTAATATCATTTTACTTTGAAAATAATAGAAATTCAAAATAATTTTTCATATTCTGTCAATTCCCAAGATCTTAATGAGAAGTCTGTTATTATTATTCTTATTTTCCTCTGCAGATGAACTGATTTTCTCTATTGAAGAACCTAAGGGAGATCTTAATTCCTAGATTAATTCTTAAACTTGGAATTTTCAAATATCACCACAATGCATGTAATTTAGTTTTCCTTTCCTTTTATTGTATTTTTAAAAATTGTCAATTCATTTAACCACTTGCCTTGTTACTCCTGATATTTTTCTTTTTTTATACAATTCTTTCTCTTAATCGAATATTGCACTTCTCCAATATTGTCCTGTATATCAGTTTTTAAAATACTTTGTATTTGTTTGGCTTTTGATTCTATATTCAGAGTAATATCCTTCATGTTTTCCATTGAGCTGCTATATTTTTAATTTTTAAGAGCTCTTTTATTCATTTTTTTCAGTTGCTTATTATTTAGCATCATATTCTGCCTTCTAGGTAAAACATTATTGAATTTGAAGACACTATAAGGATTTTTAAGGACATTATGTTTTACTCTTTGAATTATTTCTAATAACTATTTCTTTAAATATATCTGTTTTTTTAAACACTAAATTATCTGTTTTCTTCTCACAGCATATTAACTTTGATCGCCCACTAATATTTAGAATGTGGAACTGACTTAAATTTTTCTAAGTGGCTGACTGGTTTTTCCTTGCTACTTTATATGTATATCTATTTTCCCACTAGTCATCAAGCTGATTTTTTACAAATTAAAATGACTGGAAACTCTGTCTGTATATAGATATTGATATTACCAATTAGCACATGACACTCTGGTGTTAGTGAACGGAGAACATAGAAACCTAAGGATAGAGTGTATCCGGGACAACCATGATCCATGACTCAATCTTGCAAAAATATTGCTGTGGTATTTTGCCCAGTTATAAATTCAAGCTGTACATAAGTGTTTGAAGGTAGAGCTTGCATGCTTGTTGCGTAGATATGCATTAAGCAACCACCCTATTTCTAGTCTCCCTTTTATTTCTTCCCCTTACTACTTACATTATGTTCAAAGTTTTCCTGGGCTTCTATTTGACAAATGAGTTTCCCCTTCTCAGTGTCATTTATTCTGGGCTTGAATACACTCACTTTGCTCCAGTGGTCAGCATCCTTCCACTCTCAACTTATCTTCTAGAAATTTGATGTCATCTTTTGTCTATTCTCACATTTCTAACATCTTGTGATATGAATCCTTTTAATTATGTTTCTTTCACTTAAATAATGTCTTAAATGAGAAAGAAAATATAACCATTATGAATTTTGGCTGTATGGGACAGGAAGTCAATGTGATCACTCAGTTTCCAATGAATTATGGAGACTGTTATTGCTTAAGGGTTTAATTGTTTAGTACAACTGCCATATTGGCATAGCTATCAATTTAACACGGCATTAAATTTCTTTGCTTCACTCATCAGTGATTTTGAACCACTGCCTAATTAGATACGTAGAATGTAACTGTAGGATGTTATTTTTTTCCATTCAATAGGCATTTATGAAATAACTAGTCTGTTTCTAGCACAGTGTTAGATCTTATGACTTGCAAAAACAACAGATATAGTTCATTCATCACTTATCTGTTCTAGGCATGAGGAAAATCACTTAACAAGAAACACTTTATTTAAAGCTCATATCACCCTATTGAGGTAGATAATATTATTTTTCTTTAATATTCACTCACAGTGACTCACCCATAAGTGGTAGAGCAGACTAAAGACTCTGGTTTTTCTTTCACCCAAGACTGTATTGTTAGACAATTTCAAATTATTCAGAATTTGGTCTCAAATAGTACTAGAATAGTGAAAGAAACAGGAAGGTAAGCAATCATTTTAATATGAATGATGTTTATTCTTCTGCATTCCCTAATTTCTGCCCTTTTATTCATGGCTTCTTA
Source organism: Homo sapiens (assembly GCF_000001405.40). Lineage (NCBI taxonomy): Eukaryota > Metazoa > Chordata > Mammalia > Primates > Hominidae > Homo > Homo sapiens. Next base: position 22,959,467 of record NC_000005.10, read on the forward strand.
CAGGAATATATCATGGCCTTTTAGCTCCCAAATACCAAGAGTATCTATGTTTTTTAATTTACTCAAGTAGCTCAATTAGGAGAGGCAGAGTCAGAGAGAAAGTGATCATGCATCATTATCTTTAAGATAGGTTTCTCCATAAATTTCCTCCTCAGGAATTAGCAATATTTTTTTCAAAAAAGGAATATGTTTGTTCATATTGTGATCTAAGTAGGGCTTCTAAGGCTTCATGAAGATAGATTTGAAACTCAAAAATAGTATTCAGCCGGACAGATTGAGCATAGCCCCACACTTTGAAATTTTATTAAATGTCTAACTCTAATCACCATAAGACCAGATATTTTACTCATTTGGGGAAGATTAAAAAAATAAAGTGATTGCCATTGAATGAGTCAGCAGCCCATCACCATTCATAAGTAATGTTTGTAAAAGGCAGAATAGTGAGAAATAAAATATTTGAGCCAAATTGGATAGCTTTTTGCTCCATCCCTATATAACAAATAAAACTTCACACCATACTTGCAAACATGGAAACCTTTGTCAAAACTCCCAAGTGGGGCAGACACCTACTGCATATGTGTGTGTGTGTATGTGTGTATATATATATATATATATATATATATATATATACCAACAAAAAAATCTGAGGAATTTCACACATTTCCCGTGTACATATTTTAAATTTTAACTCACGTATATGAATGGATAAGCAAGAATTACTAGACATACATGAAAAATAGAAGCCCAAATTTAAAAACAAAACAACACAAATGAAACATACAGCAAGACTTTTATGATGCAGAGCCAAATTGGAAAATAGAAAATAATTTAAAGGAATTCCAATTAGTAGTTTCTGAGAGATTCAAGAAGACATTGGATACATAAAAATGGAATAAGCTGCTATAAAAAGGAGAAATGAGACACTATGAAACAGTTCTTAGATACTGAAAATATGATTGCTTAAATGAAATATTTAATATAAAGGCCAGAGGAAAAAAATGAAGGAACTCTCCCAAATGTAGGGGAGAAAAGAAATAGAAATGAGTAATATGAAGAAAACATTGAGAGACATGAATCATTAATTTAGGAGGTTTGACATTTGTCTAAAATGAATTGCAGAAAAGGAAAAGAGAGGAAACAAAAAGGAGAAATTTATCAACAAAATGATAAAAACAAATTTCCCAAAAATATAAGAGACATGCCTTGAAATCACAAGTACTCACATAGCATCTGCCCGGATAGACCAGAAAAAAAAATACACACACACACACACACACACACACACACAAAGGAAAACAAAATACTGAACCTTAAAGAAGCTAGGCAAATTTCAGGATTATAAAAATGTTCTAAACTTTATTTATTCACTTGTTCATTCATCATTAGTAAGTGGCATCCTCTGGCTATAAAAATGGTGAAGGAAAAAGGAAAAGTCACTGTGTATTGAAATTTATACTCTAATAACAATAAAATGAATGTAAACAAAAATATATTAGTCTCCTTGGGCTGCTGTAAAAGAATACCAAAGACTGGGTGGCATAAACAACAAAGATGTATTTTCTCAAAGTTCTGGAATCTGGAAATTGAAGACCACGGTGCTGGTGGTGTTGATTTCTGGTGAAGACTCTTCCTGGCTTGTAGATGGCTTACTTCTACTGCGTCCTCCCATGGTCTTTCCTCTGTCTCTGTATGTGCACTTCGGGTATCTCCTCCTTCTTTTTTTTTTTTTTTTTTTTTTTTTTGACGGAGTCTCTCTCACTCTGTCACCCAGGCTGGAGTGCTGGAGTGCAGTGGCACGATCTCAGCTCATTGCAAGCTCCGCCTCCCGGGTTCACCCCATTCTCCTGCCTCAGCCTCCCAAGTAGCTGGGACTATAGGCGCCGGCCACCACGCCCGGCTAATTTTTTTTTTTTTTTTTTTTTTTGTATTTTTAGTAGAGGCGGGGTTTCACTGTGTTAGCCAGGATGGTCTCGATCTCCTGACCTTGTGATCCGTGCTCCTCGGCCTCTCAAAGTGCTGGGATTACAGGCATGAGCCACCGGGCCCAGCCTCTCCTCCTCTTCTTATAAGGATACCAGTTTTATTAAATTATGAATCCACCCCATTCCCTCATTTAACCTTAGTTACCTCCGTAAAGTCCCTCTCACCAAATATAGTCACATTGGAATTTAGGATTACAACATAAAAATTTGAGGGAGACACAATTCAACACAGACCAATAATGTTAGGTTTAACGGAGTAAAATAAAGTGGAATAAAATAAAGCATGGAATAAAGTAGAGGAAATAGCGCAAACATTTTATGTAGGGTTGTAATTGAAGCCCTCCAAGATGGCTAATTTTATATGTCAACTTGAGTGAGCCATGAAGTGCCCAGATATTTGGTCAAGCAGTATTCTAAGTGTTTCTTTGAGGGTGTTTTTGGATGGGTTTAACATTTACATTAATAGACTGAGTAATGTGGGTGGGTCTCAGTTAAGAAAAAGGCGGCCAGACTAGAACAAAAAGGCTGGGGAGGGAGGCCCTGGCTTTTTTTCTGCCACAGACTCAAATTGAACCATTGGCTGTTCTTGGGTTTTGAGCCTTCCGACTTTTGGACTGGAATTATACCATCTATTCCTCTAGGTCTTCAGCTTGCAAACCTATCTCGCAGATCTTTGGGCTTTCCAGCCTTCGAAATTATATAAGCCAATTTATTTTAATTTCTTCCCCTTTCGACTCTCTCAATAAATACTAATGTGTACCATAGAGAACCCTGACTAGCACATGCTCTATACTGAGAGGATATTTGAATGGATGTTTGAAGGAAGTGAGATAGATGAAGATCTGAGGGGAAGAATATTCCACATGGAAGAAATTCTGAGAGCAAAGATGGGGGCAAGAATGAGCTTAATTACTGGGTAAATAAGAATGGAATTAGAGGGTTCAAAGCAGAGTGACAGAAAATGATAGAGATACACTTAGAGACCTGACCAAGAGAATAGCACTATGAAAGGATTTGCAAGCCAAGATCAAGAATTTGGATTTTATTTGAAGTACAGTAAGGAATAACTTCACAGCTTAGACTGGAATGTGTCATTATCTGCATCATAGTTTTTCAAAGTTCGTGTTAGCTGTTCAGTGAACACCAAACTACAAAAACAAAAGTGAAAATAAGGAGACATTAGAAAATTCTTATAATCATTCCTATCTGAAAACAAGTAGCATGATGCAAAGAGAATTCAAGAAATACAAAAGAATTGTAAAGAACTCTAGTCAGTAATTATAAAGAGAATCAAGACAAATTCCATCTATACAAAAATGAAAAGTCAGCTATAAAAAAGAGCAATGAAAGAATAAAAAAGAATTCTTCAAAGTTTAAAATTAAATCGACTAAATAAACCCTCTGTTGTTGCTACAGAAAGGGAAGAGGACTGGGAAATGCATACTGACCTCTTACTGTGACACAGAAATAACAAGCACATTTACTTGTGAACAGCAAAGGAGAAGCACCGTAAGGAAAGTCCTCATTCCAGAATATATCCTATCTCATGCTGGTTGGAGGTAGAATACTACCTTAGGAGACCAAGGAATTTTTACTTACTTCTATTTATTCATCTAGCTTCCTTGTAGATAAACCCTTTTGTTCTTCTTCTGTTTGGCTCTGCTTAATCATTTTGGCTGCCCTATTGGTTCTATTAGATTGAATAAACACAGACTCCTATTTATCTCAATTCATCATGTTAATTTTTAAAATCATTTTGTATTTTCAGTTTTTTAATGGTGAGTAATGTCTCTGAACATTTTAGTTGATTGGCTGTTGATTTTATTTCTGGAAATCCTACTTGTTAACAGCCAAATATAGAAATGTTGTTAGGTCATTCTGGTCAAATACCCAGGTCTGATTAAGTGCAATTTAACAAGTAGGTTATTACTTCTTTTTATGGCATCCGTTTACTAACAATTCTTGAGCATTCTGTCTATTCCTTTTACTAACTTTCCATGTGCATCTAAGTATCAAGTTGAATTTTGGAAAAGTCATCATTTTGCAAAGGGGGATTTCGCACCCAGTGAGGTATGTCACAATTATACAGATACTAGAGCTATATGTAGATCCAACATTACACGAGAGATAGTTTTATCATATTAGACTTTTTCAAACTTATTTTTTAATTTTAAGATTGATTATAAATGATTCTTAAGATTTTGGATCACCATGCTGATATCAGAAGATTATTTTAAAAAATCAAATCATTATGAGAATTCGTGATTTACTTAGAAAAGTCTGTTCGAAACTAAGCATTGTTTTCTTTACCAACTTTTATTTTAGGTTCAAGTAGTATATATGCAGGTTTGATACATGGATAAATTACTTGTTGTGGGCATTTGGTATAGAGATAATTTTGTCACCCAGGTAATCAGCATAATACCTGTATCAGTCAGGGTTCTCTGGAAGAACAGAACTAATGGAATAGATATATATATAAAGGGGAGTTTATTAAGTATTAACTTGCACAATCACAAGGTTACACAATAGGCCATCTTCAGGCAGAGGAGCAAGGAGAACCAGTCAGAGTTCCAAAACTGAAGAACCTGGAGTCCGATATTCAAGGTCAGGAAGCATCCAGCGTGGGAGAAAGATGTAGGCTGGGAGGCTAAGCCAGTCTCTCTTCACATTTTTCTGCCTGCTTATATTCTAGCCATGTTGGCAGCTGATTAGATTGTGCCCAGGCGGATTACAGGTGGGTCTGCCTTTCCCAGGCCACTGACTCAAATGTTAATCTCCTTTGGCAACGCCCTCACAGAAACACAGAGGATCAATACTTTGTATCCTTCAATCCAATCAGGTTGGCACTCAGTGTTAACCATCACAGTACCCAAAGAGTAGTTTTTCAATTCTCACCATCCTTCCACCTCCAACCTCAAGTAGGTCCCAGTGTCTATTGTTCTCTTCTTTGTGTTCATGTGTACTCAGTGTTCAGTTCTCACTTATAAGTGAAAACATGCACTATTTGGTTTTCTGTTCCTGAATTAATTCACTTAGGATAATGACTTTCGACTCCATCCATGTTGCTGCAAAGGACATCATTTCATTCTTTTCTATGGTTGTATAGTATCCCATGGTTTATATATACCTCATATTCCTTATCCAGTCCATCACTGATGGGCATCCAGGTTGATGCCATGTCTTTGTTATTGTCAGTAGTGATGTAATGAACATATGTGTGCATAAGTCTTTGTGGTAGAATATATTCCTTTGGGTGTATACTTAGTAATAAGATTGCTTGGTCAAATAGCAGTTCTATTTTAAGTTCTCTAATAAATCTCCAGACTGCTTTTCACAGTGACTGAACTAATTTATATTCCCACCAGCAGTGTATAAGCATTCCCTTTTCTCTGCAATCTTGCCAGCATGTTATTTTTTTTGACTTTGTAATAACAGCTATTCTGACTAGTGTGAAGATGTATGTCCTTGTGGTTTTGATTTGCATATCTCAAATGATCAGTGATATTGAGCATTTTTTTCATATACTTGTTGGCCGCCTATCTGTCTTCTTTTGAGAAGTGTCTGTTCATGTCCTTTGCTCCATTTTTTAATGGGGTTGGGTGTCTTTTCTTTGTCGATGAAGTTCCTTATAGATATTTATATTAGACCTTTGCCAGATGCATAGTATGCAAATGTTTTCCCTCATTTTATAGGTTGTCTGTTTATTCTGTTGATAGTTTCTTTTGCTATGCCGAAGCTCTTTAGTTTAATTAGATCCTGTTCGTTAATATTTGTTTTTGTTGCAATTGCTTTTGGAGTCTTTGTCATGAAGTCTCTGCTGAAGCCTAAGCTCAGAATGTTATTTCCTAGGTTATCCCCTAGGGGTTTTATAGATTTGGGTTTTACATGTTAGGTTTTAATCTATCTTGAGTTGATTTTTGTTTATGCTGAAAAAGGGAGTCAGTCCAGGTTCAGTCTTCTTCATATGCCCAGCAAGTTACCCAGCGCCATTTGGAGTCCTTTCCCCATTGCATGTTATTGCTGGCTTTGTTAAGGACCAGATGGTTGTAGATGTGTAGCCCCATTTCTGTGTTCTGTACTCTGTTTCATTGGTCTGTATGCCTGGTTTTATACCAGTACCATGTTGTTTTAGTTACTGTAGCCTTATAGTATAGTTTGAAGTAGAGTAATGTGATGACTCTAGCTTTGTTCTTTTTGCTTAGCTTTTGGCTATTCAGGCTCTTTTTTGGTACCAGATGAATTTTAGAATTTCTTTTTCTAATTTTGTGGAAAAATGTCATTGCCAATTTGATAGGAATAGCAATGAATCTATAGATTGCTTTGGGAAGTATGGCTATTTTAACAATATTGCTTCTTCATATCCATGACCATGGAATGTTTTCTGAATTGTCTGTGTCGCTTCTGATTTCCTTCAGCAGTGTTTTGTAATTCTAATTGTAGAAATCTTTCACCTTCCTGGTTAATTGTATTTCTAGGTATTTTGTTCTACATGTGGCTATTATGAATTAAATTGTCTTTTGATTTGACTCTCAGCTTGGACAATATTGGAGTATAGAAATGCTACTAATTTTCATACGTTGATTTTATATCTGGAAACTTTGCTGAAGTTGTTTATCAGCTCTAGGAACCTTTGGACAGAGACTAAGGGGATTTCTATTTGTAGAATCATGTCATGCATGAAAAGAGATTGTTTTACTTCCTCTATTTCTATTCAGATGCCTTTTATTTCTTTCTGTTGCCCAATTGCTCTGGCTAGAACTTCCAGCACTATGTTAAATAGGAGTGGTGGGACTACAAATTCTTGTTTTGTTCTGGTTCTCAAGAGAAATGCTTTCAGCTTTTTTCTCATTCAGTATGATGTTGCCTGTGGGTTTTTCATACATGGTTCTTACTATTTTTGAGGTATGGATCTTCAATACCTCATTTGCTGAGGGTTTTTAACATGCAGGGGCATTAAATTTTACCAAAAGCTTTTTTTCCTTCTATTGAGATGATCGTGTGATTTTTGTTTTTAGTTCTGTTTATGTGATGAATCACATTTATTGACTTGTATATATTGAACCAACCTTGCATCCCAGGAATAATGCCTACTTGACCTTGGTCAATTAGCTTTTTGATGTGCTGCTAGATTCAATTTGCTAGTATTTTGTTGAGAATTTTTTAATGTATGTTTGTTATGATATTGGTCTAAAGTTTTCTATTTTTGTTGTGTCTTTGCCAGCTTTTTGTATCAGGATAATGCCGGCTTCGTAGAATGATTTAGGAAGAAGTCCCTCCTCAGTATTTTGGGAATAGTTTCAGCAAGACTGGAACTAGCTTTCTAACACATGTGGTAGAATTCAGCTGTAAATCTGTCTGGTCCTGGGCTTTTTCTAGTTGGTAGGTTTTTTTATTACTGATTCAATTTTGGAAAACATCACTGGTCTGTTCACAGTTTCAATTTCTACCTGATTTAATATTGGGAGGTTGTATGTTTCTAGGAATTTATACATTTCTTCTAGGTTTTCTATTTTATGTTCATGGAAGTGTTCATAATAGTTTCTGAAAGTTTTTTCTGTGTTTCTGTGAGGTCATTGGAAATGTCCCTTTTGCCATTTCTGACTGTGTTCATTTGAATCTGATTGTGTTTATTTCTGTTTATTATGGTAATAGCAGCCCCTGCTCTTTTATGTTTTCCATTTGCTTGGTAGATTTTTCTCCATCTCTTTACTTTGAGTCCATGGGTGTTGATATGGTTTGGTTGTGTCCCCAAATCTCATCTTGAATAGTAGCTCCCATAAACTCCATGTGTTGTGGGAGAGATCTAGTGAGAGGTAATCTAATTTTGAGGGAGAGTTTTTTTTTTTTTTCATGCTCTTCTTATGATAGTGAGTAAGTCTCATGAGATCTGATGGTTTTATAAAGGGCAGTTCCCCTGCACACACTCTCTTGCCTGCTGCTATGTAAGATGTGCCTTTGCTCCTCTTTTACCTTCTGCCATAACTGTGATGCCTCTCCAGCCACATGGAACTGTGAGTCCACTAAACCTCTTTTTCTTTATAAATTTCCCAGTCTCAGGTATTTCTCCATAACAGTATGAAAATGCACCAACACAGGTGTCATTCTATGTTAAGTGCATCTCTTGGACACAACATACAGTTGAGTCTTGCTTCTCTATTCAACTTGCCACTGTGCTTTTAAGTGGATCATTTAGGCCATTTATTTTCAAGATATTCGTATGTGCAGAATTGATTCTGTTATCATGTTGTTAGCTGGTTGTTATGTAGACTTGATTGTGTATTTGCTTTGTCAATGGTCTATGTACTTTAGTGTTTTTTTGTGGTGGCTAGTAATAGTATTTTATTTTATTATATTATATTATGTTCCAGGGTATACTTACAGGATGTGGAGGTTTGTTGCATTGGTAAATGTGTGCCATGGTGCTACATCTATCAACCTATCACCTACGTCTTAAGTCCTGCATGCATTAGCTATTTTTTTCTGATTCTCTCCCTCCCCCCATCCCCCTGACAAGACCCAGTATTTGTTGTTCCCCTCTCTGTGTCCATGTGTTCTCATTGTTCAGCTCCACCTTACAAGTGAGAACATGCAGTGTTTGGTTTTCTCTTCCTGTGTTATGTTAGTCTGCTGAGGGTAATGGCTTCTAGCTCCATCTATGTCCCTGCAAACAACATCATCTTGCTCCTTTTTATGGCTTCATAGTATTTCATGGTGTATATGTACCACATTTTCTTTACCCAGTCTATCATTGGTGGACATTTGGATTCATTCCATGTCTTTCCTATTGTGAATAGTGCTGCAATAAACATATGTCTGCATGTATCTTTATAACAGAATGATTTATATTCCTTTGGGTATATACCCAGTGATAGGGATTCTGGGTCAAATGGTATTTCTGGTTCTAGTCTTTGAGGAATCACCACATTGTCTTCCATGATGGTTGAACTAATTTACATTCCCACCAACAGTGTAAAATCATATCTATTGCTCTGCAGTCTCATCAGCATCTGTTGTTTTTTGACTTTTTAATAATTATCATTCTGACTGGCATGAGATGGTATATCGCAATGGTTTTTATTTGCATTTCTCTAAGATCAGTGATGTGGAGCTTTTGTTCATATGTTTGTTGGCTGCATAAATGGCTTCTTTTGAAAAGTGTCTGTTCATGTCCTTTGCCCATTTTTAATGGGGTTGTTTTTTTTCTTGTGAATTCGTTTAACTTCTTTGTAGACTCTGGATATTAGACCTTTGTCAGATGGATAAATTCAAAATATTTCCTTCCATTCTGTAAGTTGTCTCTTCACTCTCATGATAGTTTCTTTTGCTGTGCAGAAGCTCTTTAGTTAAATTAGACCCCATTTGGTAAGAAATTCCCTTAGCATTTGCTTATCTGGAAAAAATTTAATATGTCCTTTACTTACGAAGCTTAATTTTGCTAGATATGAAATTCGTGGTTGAAATTTCCTTTTGTTGAGGATGGTGAATGTAGGCCCCCAGTCTCTTCTGTTTTGTAAGGTTTCTGCTGAAACATCTTTTAAGCTGATGGGGTTCCCTTTGTAGCTGATCTCTTCCTTTTCTCTAGTTGCCATTATTATTTTTTCTTTTGCCTTGTCCTTATATAATCTGATGACAATGTGTCTTGGGGATAGTTGTCTGGTATAGTATCTTTCAGGGGCTCTCTGAATTTCCTGAAGTTGAATGTCAACCTCTCTCTAGTGAGATCGGGGTTAGAGTGGACAATTTCATGGACTATATCCTCAAATATGTTTTCCAAGTTGCTTTCTCTCTCTCCCTCTCTTTCATGGACGCCATAAGTCATTGATTTGGTATCTTTACATAATCACATATTTCTCAGATTTTTTATTAATTTTTAAATTTATTTTTGTCTAAGTTAATTTGAAGAACTGTTCTTCAAGCTCCAACATTCTTTCCTCAGCTTGGTCTATTCTGCAGTTAATACTTCCAATGTTGTTATGAAGTTCTTGTAGTGAATTTTTCAGCTCTATCAGCTCAGTTTTGTTTCTTTCTTGAAGTGGTTATTCATCTTTCATCTCTTGAATTGTTTTACCGAATTTGTTGAAATGGGTTTCAACTTTCTCCTAAATCTCAATAACATTTGTTGGCATCCAGATTATAAATTCTATGTTTGTCATTCTAGCCATCTCATTCTGGTCAAGAACCATTGCTTGGGAGATAGTACAGTCCTTTGCGGGTAGGAGACATTCCGGCTTTTAGAGCTGTCAGAGTTCTTGCACTGTTTTCTTTCTCGTCTGAGTGGGCTGATTTTCCTTCAACTGCAGTGTAATTTGAGTATAGTCAGTTAGTTTCATTTCTGGATGTTTTCAGAGGGCTGAGGCTTTGTGCAGTGTCTTTATTTGTGCTGAACCCTTTCCTAATATACAAGTTGGTATATTAAGGAAGTATTTTTGTTGTTGAAATTTGGGTTGTGATCTAACAGATGACTTTTAAGCATAATAACTGGTAGGAAGCTCTTGCTCAGCCACTTCACTTCACTGTATTTCCTCGCATGTGCAGCTGTGTTCCCTCTCAGTCCTCTGAGTGTATGGGCACCTTTCCCACTTAAATGTTGGTCACAGATCCCCATCTTGGCACTCCTGGGGTGCATACCACAACCCAGGGGCGAGCTCAGGCTTTTTGTTTCCTTCTCAGCTTGGAAGCAGACCAGGGAAGGGACTTCCTTGGCAGTGACAATGACAGAGGGCCTTTCTGTTGTCTCTTGGGGCTTCACCCCAAAGAGATGCAGAGCTCTTACAAATAGGAGTGGTCAGCCAGGGATGGGAAGGCTGTGTTACAGACCCAAGCTGGAGGCATTTCCTGGTGAAGAGCTGGTTGTGCCGGGGCCTTGCAGGGAAGACAGTCTGACCTCTTTCTTCTCTGTAGGGTGCTGTGGTGTGCTGCAGATGTGAGTAAAGTACTCAGGCTCTTTTTTCCTTCCCCAGTGTGGTGGCAGCAAGGGTGGGTACCATTGCAGCAGTAGTAGTAGATGAGCTTGCAGTTACTTTTGGGAACTTCACCCCAGAGAGACACAAAGCTGCTGCCAGTGGGAATGTACAGCTGTGGATTGAATGGCTGTGCTGCAGGCCCAAGCTGGGTGCCCTCCTCTGTGAAGAGCAAAGGATCAGGGGCTCACAGGAAAAAAGACTGTCTCCTTTCCTATGGCGGTTGCCTGCCGTGTGCTGGAGGTGTCAGCAACCCTATCAATCTTTATTATTTCCCTAGCCCAAGGGCAGCAAGGGCAGTACTGATGCAGTGGCTATGGCAGAGAGCCTGTCGGCTGTCTCTGGGATTTCCTCCCCAGAAAAATGCAGAGCAGCCACTGATAGAAGTGATCAGACAGGGCAGGACGGCTGTACTGAGGTCCCAGGTTGGGAGATCCTGACCAGTGGGGAGTAGCAGAGTCAGGGACTCACGTCAAAAACAATCTGGCTGCTTTTCTGTAAGGCAGCTGCAGTGTGCTGGAGGCCTATAATAGTTTTGGGGTTTTTTGCTCCCTTGCCAGCCTGAGGGCAGTAGGGGTGGAGACTGTGGCTGTGGCCACCATGGCAGGCCTGTTGGTGACCTCTGGGAATGCCATTCCAGAAAAATGCAGAGCTACTACCAGCTTGAGTGCTCAGGTGGGGTGTGGTGGCTGCATTGGTGACCCTGGCCAGTGGTCTTTGCCTGGTAAGCAGAGGCGAAGCCTGCAGTTCATCTATGGATGTGGCCCCTGTCCTCAGGGTATGCAAGAGAGCTTGGCCTCCTTTGGCAGGGCTACGACAGCTGGTGTGAGAGTGCTTAGCCGTCGGTGGCCCTTGGGGCTTCATGTGGGCATGAGTGGTGTCTCTGCCCAGACTCCATGACCCTCGTTGTCAGCCTGAAGGCTCTAGCAGTTGCAGGTTAGGGAGGATCACCTGTGCCCAGAATTGCGAAGCTTCATGGCAGAAGTGTGGGTCCCTGGGGACTCTTGCTCACTCACCATTGCCCCACGATGGGGAGTTTCCCTTGGCTCCACACAGTCCTGGGTGGGCGGCTGTCCTGTTTCACTCCTCTCTGCTCTGTGTGGGTTGCATTGCTTCCTTGAGGAATCCCAATGTGGCTTTCTGGATGATCCAGTTGAACAGCTAGTGTTTACTCTTCACTCTGTCTCCTTTCTGTGAGAACAGTGCACACTAGGTGCTTCCAGTCAGCTACCTTGGCCTTAACTCTCCCAGTTTTTAAGTTTAAGTTGAGAAGGCCAATCTGCTCTCTTACTCCATCATGGCTAGAACTCAGGTGGCTTATTAAAGAATAATAAAAAGAATTGAAACAAGGCTGTGAATTTAAAGAATGTTGTTATTTCACCAGGTGCAGTGGCACATGCCTGTAGTTCCAGCTACTCTGAAGGCTGCAGTGGGAGGATTGCTTGACTGAGCATTGTTAATATACACAATTTCAGTCCTTTTGATAAAGACCCTCCATTTACCACCATTACACAATAAATTCTTTCTGTCTTTGAAACATTAACAATTAAAAATTCCTACAGTTACATTAACCAATTATTTTGATAATGAGATTGAAACAGAGTCTGCCTTCCATGAGCATATTCACTGCAGAGAAAAAGAGCTAGTTTTTTTCCCTTGGGAATTTTTTTTCTACTTAGATAAAGAAGAGATTGATTCAAGTGGCTCTGAAGTTATAAGTGTTATATATACTTCTCAGCCTGCTGATCACCACTGTCATTACTACTAGTCATATAAGAGTATTCAATGTTAATGTTGGCTAACAACGAATTTATTAAATTAGAATTTCAGTCAGCCTTTCTCCTACTTACAACTACATAAAATATTCCAGAGATCTTTGGATTAGCACTTTACAATTTGTTTACAAACGCACAGTATTTTTATCTAACCATGTTGTTCTCAGTGGTTACATTTGCCTTTGAAACTGTATCTTTTTTTTTTTTTTTTTTGAGATGGAGTCTCACACTGTAGCCTGGGCTGGAGTGCAATGGTGTGATCTCAGCTCACTGCAACCTCTACCTCCCGGGTTCAAGCAATTTTCCTGCCTCAGCTCCTGAGTGGCTGGGATTATAGGCACCCACCACCATGCCCGGCTAATTTTTTATATTTTTAGTAGAGATGTGGGTTTCACTATGTTGGCTAGGCTGGTCTCAAACTCCTGACCTCATGATCCGCCCGCCTCAGCCTGCCAAAGTGTTGGGATTACAGGCATGAACCACTGCGCCCGGCCTGAAACTGTATCTTAGTATCAGAGCAACTTCCTAGTCCTGTCTTCCAGTTGGTTGTTTCTTCTAATGTACTTCGTGGTCACTTGAGAGAAGATGAAATGGAAGACCCCAGGTAAAAAGAAGAAAGATTGTCCCTGACTGACCATGACATTTGGACGCAGATAATATTTGCAGATTCATCCAGAATAATAGATTTAGTACATTGCGTTAGTCCATTCTCGTATTGCTATAAATAAATACCTGAGATTTGGTAAGTTACATAGAAAAAAGGTTTAATTGGCTCATGGTTTTGCACATTGTACAGGAAGCATGGCAGCATCTGCTTGGCATCTGGGGCAGCCTCAGGAAACTTCCATTCCTGGTGGAAAGTGAAGAGGGAGCCAAGGCGCCACGTGGCCAGGGACAGGAAGAAGAGTGGAGGAGACGCTGCGCACTTTTAAACAACCAGATCTCATGGGAGCTCCCTCACTGTCGCAAGAACAGCGCCAAGAGGGACGGTGTTAAACCATTCATGAGAAAGTGTCCCTGTGATCCAATCACCTCCCACCAGGCTCCACCTCCAACACTGGGTCTTACAATTTGACATGAGATTTGGATGGGAACAAAGATTCAAACCATAGCCTACATCATGTCAAATCGTGTGACAGAATTCAAAGACTAAATATATGAAGGAGTCTAATTTTGCCCAGTCGGGGGGACTAGGGGTCAACTGACTAAATACCTACAATAAGAATGACAAATTAAAAAAAAAATTAAAAAAATAAACCTCAGGGAGATAGCGGGGAAATAGCGTCACACAATTAATGTCATCTCAAAAATCCAGGGTCAATGTTGCCAGTCAGGGATAAAAAGAAGGTCCTCAATTTAAAAAGTGGTCAGGTGTGGCAAGATTGCTTTAAAAGATTGAAAATGTCACCACTTCCTTTTCTCAAAATGTTTGTTATCAAAATATTAATTTTATATTAAATGTACAAAATACTGCCAGCATGTTTTACAAATGTTTGGACCAATACTTACTGCCATCAGGAGCATGTGAGAGTTAAAGTTTCCCTTTACCTTGATAATTCTTTTCAATTTTTGTCTTTCTGGTGGTTGTGAAGTGATATTTCATTTGAGTTGTAATTTACATTTCTCTGATGTGCAATAATTTAGAATAAATACCTTTCATGTTCTCATTAGCTATATGAGTATCTTACTAGATGAAGAGTGAGTTCAGTTTTTTAGCTTATTTCTAATTGTATATGTTTTATTTTTATGGATTTTTGGAAGGTCTTTATCCATTCTAGATATAAATTTGATATTATAAACTGCAAAATATTTTCTCCCAATCAGTGGCTTGCCTTTTCACTCTATCAAATACTGTGTCTTTTCATAATTAGAAGTTTTTATTTTTAGATAAGTCTAATTTATCAATTCAATTTTTCCCTTTTTCATATTTTCTGCCCTTTTAAAATAAGTGTAGTATAGAAAGATAGTCTTATATCCTAAAAGCTTATTTATTTTAGCTTTCTTTCACATTTAGATTTAAAATCTGCCTAATTTTTATTTTTTTTAGCCTTAAATATAGATTGAGATTCATTTACCAATTATTTATTTGTTTTCCAATGGCAATATATGATCTAACTTTCATCATTTATTTAAAAGTCTATATAGTTTGTCTACCAAAGTTTCCTCTCTTTGCTACAACTGGACCATATTTTTCTTCCCTCACACTACAGGACTATGAAAATACTGCTTAAGCTTTAGCTTTTTGCTTGGCCTTTGCACTACCTACCCCTGACCTGGAGAGAAAGGATATAGAACAAAAACAAATTACTGGGGGAACCAAGTCCTAAAAGAGAAGAGAGGAGCTGGATTCTACATCATGTGAAAAAGGACTGGTGAAAATGTCAACACTTTTTTAGAAACATGGATTCTTAGTCCTTTAATACCTATTTTTCTCCTTTTATTCGGACCTTGTGTCTTTCATTTAGGTTAGTTTCTCAGTTCATACAAAACCGCATCCAGGCCATCACCAATAACCCTATATGACAAATATCACCCCTTACCACAAAATCTTCCTTCAGCTTAATCTCTCCCACTCTAGACTCCCACGTCACCCCTAATCCCGCTGGAAGCAGCCCTGAGAAACATAGCCCATTATCTCTCCATACCACCCCCAAAAATTTTCACCACCCCAACACTTTACCACTATTTTGTTTTATTTTTCTTATTAATATAAGAAGATAGGAATGTCAGGCCTCTGAGCCCAAGCTAAGCCATCATATCCCTTGTGACCTGAATGTATACATCCAGATGGCCTGAAGCAACTGAAGATCCACAAAAGAAGTGAAAATAGCCTTAACTGATGACATTCCACCAATGTAATTTGTTTCTGCCCCCACCAACTGATCAATGTACTTTGTGATCTCCCCCACCCTTAAGAAGCTTCTTTGTACTTCTCCCCACCCTTGAGAAAGTACTTTGTGAGATCCACCCCCTGCCCACAAAACATTGCTCCCAACTCCACCGCCCATCCCAAAACCTATAGGAACTCATGATAATCCCATCACCCTTTGTGGACTCCTTTTTCGGACTCAGCCCGCCTGCACCCAGGTGAAATAAACAGCCTTGTTGCTCACAAAAAAAAAAAAAAGAAAGAAAGAAACATAAGAAACATGGAGATAATGGATAGGGACCATTATAGAGAGACTTTACTGAGAAAAGGAAGAATTTGTGAGAGTTAACCCTTTATGTTTAGGTCAAGAGGAAATTTGCTCAGACTGAGAGGGTGAAAAGAGCACAGAAAAATTTTCTAATAGCAGAATGAGAATATGAAGGGGATTTAGTTGCATAGGAACAATTAACTTACTGCCTCTAATATTTGAGAAACATATATCTTTATCTCCTAACAGAAAACTTTGGACTCAATAATCTCTAAACTCATCTAAAATTTTACAGTCACTTATTTTATCCCCCAAAAATTCAGTGTCTATGTAAATTGCTATTTGAGAATAAACTTTCATTGCCTTGGATGTTGCTTGTAATTAAAGAAATGTAATGCCATTTAGAAGTCTGAGCATGGAAACCAAAAATATAAATGCTTTGACTCAAATGCTGAGATTTTTAGCTTATAATTTAACAAATAATTTAAACATGTATATGTGTGTGTTTCTGTGTTTGTGTATGTGTGTGCATATGTATTTATTGCAAGTTTTGACCATTTCTGTATCGGTGATATCAAGTTGAAACGTTGAAAACAATCTGAAAATGATGTTGAAGATAATCATATTGCTTGTATTATTATATTAAGTAAAAAATGTCTATAGAGATTAAAAAAAGCTACATATTTTAAATTTGCTATTAAGATTCATCCTCTAAACATTCTATCTTATCTGTGTTCCAGAGAGATAGAGCTTGCTGACCTTCATCAAGGTAAATCCTTGCTCTCTTGCTTTTCTTGGCTTCAGCTAAACAGCATGGAGGAAAACTATAGGTGTGTGTGTGTAGCCTTTAGTCTATTTTGGATTGGGTGTTGAGAGTGGTTATATTCACCATCTAAGATCTTGGCTCCTGTCAGTAGCCTTTTTTAGATGCCTTCTTCCACAGCTTTAGATCTTACTAGTTTCAGTAAGCATTTCCTCCTCTTGTGCCTTTCAACCTAGATGTAGAATTTCCATTGTTTTAAGTCTGAGATTCTTCACTGTTGCAAGTCCCTGGGTGTTTCATCCTTATTCATTGGTTGCTCATACTTTTAAATTATTCTTCAGTGATTTTTATTGAGTGGACCATCTGTTCCTAATGAGAGTTTAGTTAAGACATGTAGTAAAGTGAGTTTTCCAAATTCATCTTTGTAAAAGACATACTTTGCTATGCAAGAAAAAGAAACTTATTAAATATATACACATATATACACATTTGTATACATAAATATATACATATATACAAATATATATTTATATACATATTATATGTATATAATTTATATATAATTATACAAATTATATGTATACATAATTATATGCATAGTATATGTATATATGTGTATAAATATGTATTTATATAGTAATGCATTTGAGATGAACAAGGTTATTAGATAACAAGGTTATTAGGCAGCTTTGTGCATCTAAAATCCTTAGAAAACATGAACAAACTAACCTTTACATCTATGTTCCTTAACACACTTTCTGTTTCTTAGATTGTGAAGAAGCATATTTTAAAGAACAATATACTTTAACTTCTGATGCATGTAAAGATAATGTTTCCTTTGCCTAAAATCATGTTTTATTTAAGACTTTTATATGTCTGTTTTTACTTACAGCTGATTAAAATTCCATATTTAAATAATTTTTATAAGTTCATGTTTATATTTATATCCTATATTGATGTTTTGAATATGTAGGTTTTTTCTCTCATACTTTTCTAAAATTCCTGATGGCAGAAGCTTTTAAATTTATATTTAAATTCACAATATTATTTTGAATAAAATATGTATTGAATAAATAATATAATAAATATTTTCAAATGTCTATCACACACCGTGGTAAGTACCTTTTGCAGTTTGAGATGCAACATCAAAACTAGCACCACTTTATTTTTCTTTTTTCAAAATCTCAGTGATAAAACGTTTGTAGATCTTAGTAGCCTCAGTGTATAATTTTTTTTCCTTAGGAAATTGGTAACTTTCACCTTTGCACTTAAAGCAAGCACTTTACCGCTGGCTTCTCTTTGGCATATTCAAATTGCCAGCATCACTACTTTTGCATTTCTGGGGGCCATTATTAAGTAAAATAAGGGTTACTTCAAAACAAGCACTGTGAACCATGACAGTAGATCTGATAACCAAGATGGCTACCAAGTGACTAACGGGTGGGTACTGTAGACAGCATGGACACGCTGGAGAAAGGAATAATTCATGTCCCAAGTGAAGTGGCATAAAATTTCATTACACTACTCATAACAGCACACAAGTTAAAACTGAATTGTTTATTACCAGAATTTTCTATTTAATACTTTGGACTGTGGTTGACTGTAGGTAACTGAAAGAATGGGAAGTGAAACCGAGGATAACAAGGAGATACTTCTATATTTTAAGTGCTGGAGTGAGCTGTAGCGAAGAATGACACTGGAGTTGGTCAATGGAATTAGCTCACCTGTGTTATAATAATTAGTGCTTATAGAAGTTAGAGGGGTACTCTTATAGAGACTGGGAGACAGGAGTGCCGTGTTTCTTGATGATTACATTTCAAAGGGATGGTTCCCAGGTCTTGAGAAAGACATTCCTGGGTTGTAAAACTGGTGAGAGGCTTAGAAAATATTTGCATGCCTAAGGGAAAGAGAAATAATTTGCATTTGGACATTTTCTAAAGTAAATGCCCTAAGTAAAAGGAGCTCAGCGGCTTGGAGTAAATAAGCAACTTCTCTAAAGTTTGGTCAAGCTGAAGGGAATGTTACGAATATCTGGGTCTTGTGTCTTGAGTCTTGTGTACCTTGCCTAATAATACACCTTCTTAATAAATCAGATATTTTTCATTTATTTTTAGATATTCAAGAAATATATAAGATACCAGTCCTCTAAATGATTTTAATAACAAAGTTTTACTTAGCATGCTTGTTTACTCCCACATTACATCAGCATAAACAAGCAGTCTTAAAAGTGTTTTAAAAATGAAATTTCTATGAAAAACAAAACAAAGACATAGTATACAAAAGGGATTAAAGGGTAAGAATGTAAACTAGTACAACCACAATGGAAAACAGTGTGGAAATTTCTTAAAGAACTAAAAGCAGATCTGCCATTTGATCCAACAATCCCACTACTAGGTATCTACCCAGGGGAAAAGAAGTTATATGAAAAAGGTACTTGCACATGCATGTTTATAGCAGCACGGTTTGCAATTGCAAAAATACAGAATTGGTCCAAATGCCCATTAATCAGTGACTGGATAAAGAAAACATATATATATATATATATGTTTTATATATAATATTTTATGTATATGTTTTATATACATATAATTTATATATATTATATTAAAATACCAAATATTTATAATATTTATATATATTATATATAATATATATATAAAATATGATAGAATACTACATAGCCATAAAAAGGAATGAAATAACAGCATTCACGGCAACCTGGGTGGAACTGGAGACTATCATTCTAAGCGAGGTAATTCAGGAATGGAAAATCAAACATCCTATGTTCTCACTCATATGTGGGAACTAAGCTATAAGGACACAAAAGCATAAGAATGATACATTGGACTTTGGGGACTTGGGAGAAAGGGTGGGGGTGGGTGGCGAAAGATAAAAGATTACACACTGGGTACAGTGTACACTGCTCAGGTGATGGGTGCACCATAATCTCAGAAATCACCTCTAAAGAACTTATTCATGTAAAGAAGTACCACCTGTTCTCCAAAAATTTAATAAAATGAAAAAGTAAAAATTTAAAAAAAAAACTACAGAGGCTATGTACAATTTGCTGTGTTGGAAATGATCTGTGTTTCACCAGTTGTGGAACCCATAGAGAGATATGCAAGTTTTCTGGGAATCATTTTCTCATCTTTAATGCCCGGAACCTCATCCAAGAGTCGCAGTGAAGGTTAGTATACTACACTTATGTTACGGGAAAGCGAGAACACACAGATATGGTGTGTTAATGTACTCTGGATGACATAAAAAAATACTACAGACTGGGTGGCTTAAACAACAGAAGTTTATTCTCACAGTTTTGGAAGGTAGAAGTTCAAGATCAAGGTGCATTTAGGGTTGGTTTCTGGTAAGGCCTCTCTTCTTGACTTGTAGGAAATCACCTTCTTGCTGTGTTCTTAGATGATCTTTTCTCTGAGCTCTCAGAGAAAGAAAGAGCTCTTGTGCCCCTTCTCGTAAGGACATATATACATTTTTTTAAAAATCAGCTCCCCATCTTTATGACCTCATTGAACCTTACTTACCTCTGTAGAGTCACTGTCTCCAAATATAGGCACATTGGAGGTTAAGGTTTCCACACATGAGTTAGGAAGAGCGATATCATTCACCATAATAGATTGCTTTCAATCCAGGCACTATTGACAGATAATTCGAGCTGCAAATAGCTACAGTGCCATGTCTTTCTGAGCATTGCTCTACAATTCCAGATAAATCCTATCTTTCCTCACACCTCTATTATTTTCTTCCACAGGACAAATGACATTTGAATTTTCTATTACCCAAATGGACAATATTAAAACAAGGTGACATTAGTACAGTAGTACCTTCAATAATATATTAAAACAATATGACACTAGTACATTTTATATCCGCTTGTGGTCAACTGATGGTCATCATATTTAAGAATTGCATTTTTTCAGTTAGTATGATTAAAATAAGGTAATTGCATTTGTTATTTTCTACCTTGATACTAAATTATCTTGCTTCTTGTTGAAAATAGAAAGAATAAACTCTTCAATAACAACATAAGCGTCCTCTCCCATATAGTTCCATAAAATTGACAGAAACACCGATTAATAGCTGATATTTAGGAAGTCTTATAAGATGCCAGTAAAAGGTGTTGACAACTTTATAGATGTGATTTCATTAATGTTGAGTATTTGCATTGATATTCAAAAATTTTGGAATATACCATCCTATAGAAACTAGCTTTTGGGACCTGTTCTGTAGCAGGCAGTAAAATGGACCTGTCTCTTCTCACACAATGCTTATTGTTTTCCAGCTATGTTTGTAATTGAGTGGAAAATCCATCTAAGTTCCTAGTGAAGAATGACTAAACCTTCTCTACAAAAAGCCTGCTCACTACTGAATTTTTGGCATAGTAAAAATAATTTGTCCATGTGTTCTCATAATTTAGCTCCCACTTCTAAGAAGTGAGAATATGTGGTATTTGGTTTTCTGTTCCTGTGTTAGTATGCTAAGGATCATGGCCACCTGCTCCATCCATGTCTCTGTAAAGAACATTATCTCATTCTTTTTATGGCTGCATGGTATTCCATTTTGTGTATGTACCACATTTTCTTTATCCAGTCTATCACTGATGGGCATTTAGGTTGAGTCTATGTCTTTCCTATTGTGAATAGTGCCTGCAATAAACATACATGTACAGGTCTTTGTAATAAAATAATTTATATTGAGGGAAACAATATACATTGGAGCCTCTCAGAGGCTGGAGGGTGGGAGAATGGAGGGGATCAGGAAAAATAACTATTGGGTACTAGGCTTAATACCTGAGTGATGAAACAATCAGTAAAACAAACCCCCATGACACAAGTTTACCTATGTAACAAACCTGGACTTGTGCCCCTGAATTTAAAGTAAAATTAAATAATCATTATAATTATAATTTGGTCTTTATTTTTCAAACTATGACCAGCATGTTTGAATGTAGGTAGAGAATGGAAGATTGTCATGCTGTTGGTCTCTTAAAACTCCAACACCTTGGAGCATGACCTAGGAAGCTTGACATACAGAAAATGAATCATGGGTGGGGATGAAATCATGTTTAAAAGAAATGAGACCTCAGCAATACAGTGCATTTCATGTTTTGATGGTGCTCTGGATATTTCGAAGCTTCCCACCCTAGGAATCTACTGAAAATCAATAATTCTGCTATTTGCTCCTACTAATCTTATCTCTGCCTTGCATATAAAAGTGCTTGGCTTGAATAACTTCCACTACCTCTTCATCTCGTCTTCTGTTCTATTATTTTCAGGAGTGGTCAGCTGTTTTCCCTACTAGTTTAGTTTAAAATTATAAACTCTCTTTTTAAAAACACTTTTAATATGATAACTCACAGCTAAACATTGCTTTTATGTTTTTCTTTGCTGTCGAGCCTGGACCTTAGTATTTTTACAAACTCCATATTTTGTTTTGTAATTTCTTCTAGATTGAAAGAATATCAGTAAGTTCTGCTTTTATAAGGGTATCTTTATGCTTGTACCCTCATGAGTGGGTTAAATGCCTTCAAAAGGGGCTTTTGGGAGTGAACTCTCTCTCAGCTCTTCTGTTCTGCCCTGTGTGGCAGTGTTCCCCACCCACCAGAGGACGCAGCGTTCAAGATGCCATCTTATGAGGGATGGCTGGGCCCTCACCAGACACCAAGCTCTCTGAGGCCTTAATATTGGACTTATCAGTTGATATGGTTTGGCTGCATCCCCACCCATATCTCACTTTAAATTGTAATAATCCCCACATGCCAAGGGCAGTGCTAGGTGGGCATAATTGAATCATGCGGGAAATTTCCCCCATACTATTCTCCTGGCAGTGAATAAGTCTCATGAGATCTGGTGGTTTTATAAATGGGATTTTCTTGCACAAGCTCTCTCTTGACTGCTGCCATGTAAGACATGTCTTGCTTCCCCTTCCCTTTCCACCATGATTGTGAGGCCTCTCCAGACATATGGAACTGTGAGTCAATTAAACCTCTTTCCTTTATAAATTACCAATTCTCAGGTAAGTCTTTATTAGCAGTGTGAGACAGACTAATACACCAGCCTGCAGAACTGTGAGCTGATAAAATTCTGTTTATTATATGTCACTCAGTCTGTGGTATTCTGTTTTATAGCAACAGAAAAAAAACAGATTAAGGCCATATATATATATAAAATTTAGCAATTTCAATTTCAGTGTTTAGAATAGTCTGTCATGTTAGGTAAAAATCTAAAAGATTTCTGGGCTTCTAATTTAGAATATATAACAGATTTGGACTTGAGGTTTTAATTTATAAAAATGTTACTGCATTTGTAAACAGTATGTGATTGTGCCAACCAACTAATTATTTATAGCATAGGGAATACTTTATTGTATTAAGTTAGTAAATACTTGACAAGTTTTGATTTCTTTTAGAAAATTAAAGCACAGAAATTAAAAACAAATATATTAAGGAAGCTTAATTTTTCTTAAAGTTAAGATCATAAAAATGGGGAAAACAGAAGAAACGACAATAAATATAGAATTACCAGTTGATTTTAGGTGCTAACAACAATGTATGTTTTGTTCTATGGATCTGCAGCTGCAGCTCACAGATTTTTCTATTGCAGACAACATATTATAAGTAGAATCTCTATGATGATTTTCAGCAAACAGAAGTGGGAAACAGATAGATGTATTGGATTCCTCTCATCCATGTATTCATTAGATTAAGACCAAATATCAGGAACAGAAAGATTTAGTGCAGATTCCATCGTTGCTAGCTCACCTACTCTTGAATTACCATATTTTCAACCAATATCTTAAACTCTGAGATTCATTATTTCAAACAGTCCTCACTCTAGCTAAAAACATACATATTTAGCAGCATATGCTTGGAAGGTTATTTGATTTGTAAAATTTATTAATTTGAAATGTTTTAATAACAATTCAACAATAAAGATATATAAATCATCATGTGCATTTTGTATTTTATTGACCTTAAGGCATGGCTGAGATTTTGCTCTAGAAATAAAAGGTAATTCATCTTCCATTTCAAGCTAGTCCAAAAGATTGAATTGTGTTAAATGATGTGCTGCACTTTCTCAGATGTTCATTATTGCCTTATATAGATTTTGCTGAGATGAACAAACTCACTTACAGAAACTCTTTACATTAGATTCACTTATTGAGCCAAAGCTTGAGGTTATCCTTTCGAAGTGTGGGAAACAACATCTTAAAAATGAAAAATAATATTTCTTCCAAAATATTTGGTGTATGAAGGTCTAAATGTTCTAGACCAGAGCTATCCTTTATTTTCCAAAAGCATGGATGGAAGCAATTTGGGTGTTGAGATTATATATCTTAATAGGCACCATAGAACATAATACCTGATTGTGTCACAATTTTTATTTGACACATTAGGTTTATAAGAATATCTGCAGTTTTTGCTTTACTTTCTTTCCATACCATAGTGTGTATAATTTCTGGCTATTGAAATCCTTCAGATAAACTAGATTAATAGAACACACACACATGCACATACGCATATATACGTATGCATAGAGGTGTATGCAATATTGTGCCTAAAATTCCAATGATACTCTTTTTTTTTTTTTGAGACGGAGTCTCCCTCTGCCTCCCAGGCTAGAGTGCAGTGGCGCGATCTCGGCTCACTGCAAGCTCCACCTCCCGGGTTCACGCCATTCTCCTGCCTCCGCCTCCCGAGTAGCTGGGACTACAGGCGCCCGCCACTACGCCCGGCTATATTTTTGTATTTTTAGTAGAGACAGGGTTTCACTGTGTTAGCCAGGATGGTCTCGATCTCCTGACCTCATGATCCACCCGCCTCGGCCTCCCAAAGTGCTAGGATTACAGGCGTGAGCCACCGCGCCTGGCCTCCATTGATATTCTTTCTTTGCTACTGAAAACCGCCATTAATTTTGGCCAGAGTCACTGTAATATGATAATCTTCATATTTGAGGACAGTTCATTTACATGTCTAAGTATTAAGGAGATTGTAGCATCAGAATACAAAATCATGCCTATATTAATATAAAAATCAGTGACACGGCATTTTTAATTGTTGTAAACTTTGTCAGAGCTAGTGTTTCATTTAAGAGGTGCTGTGGAGAGGCAATTATTGAGCGCTCCAAACTTGATAATTGCACAATATATGGTCCAAGAAGAGATATCTGAAATGTTAACGTCGACACATTAATTATGCTTCTGAAATAGAAGCAGAAAAAATTAAATCTCTGAGCAACGTCCCATGTTGAAGAATCTACCTTAAATGGCCTCTCACTTTTTGTTTTAAGGTTAAGAAATTTCAAAAAGAGACTTATTTTGGTTAACTGCTTCAAGCTGTCACAGACTGCCGCAGAATTCATATTTTTCATCAATGAATATTCCTGTTGTTATTGTTATTGTTTGTTATTAGATGGTTAGCATATGGATTTTAAGAATTCAGTAGTTGGGCTGGGTGCAGTGACTCACACCTGTAATCCCAGCACTTTGGGAGGCCGAAGCGGGGGTATCATTTGAGGTCAGGGGTTCGAGACCACCCTGGCCAACGTGGTGAAACCCCACCTCTACTAAAAATATAAAAATTAGCCGAGCGTGGTGGCGCAGGCCTGTAGTCCCAGCTACTTGGGAGGCCAAGGCAGGAGAATTGCTTGAACCTGGGAGGCGGAGGTTGCAGTGATCAGAGATTGTGCCATTGCACTCCAGCCTGGGCGACGCAGGGAGACTCCATCTCAAAAAAAAAAAAAAAAATAGAATTCAGTAGTTGCAAGGCTGGGCGCGGTGGCTCATGCCTGTATTCCCAGACTTTGGGAGGCTGAGGCAAGTAGATCAATTGAGCCTAGGATTTGGTGACCGGCCTGGGCAACATGGTGAAACACTGTGTCTATAAAAAATAGAAAAATTAGCCAGGCCTGGTGGCATGCACCTGTGGTCACAGCTATTCCGGATGCTGAGGTGGGAGGTGGAGGTTGCAGTGAGCCAAGATTGTGCCACTGCACTCCAGTCTGGGTGGCAGAGTGAGACCCTGTCCCACCCTCCTCCACAAAAAAGAATAAAGTAGTTGCCATATAACTCTTCAAAGTGTGAGTAAATGTTTGGTTTCAAAACAAAATGCATTCAATAGTCATGACTGAATTCATAGCAGAGGATCCACTAGATTAGATAGGAATAAGGGTGGGGAAAGAAAGATCTGTTTTATGCTGATCTAAATCATCAGAATGTAAAACTATGAGGTATCAAAAAAAAAGAAAGAAAAACACTACAGCAAAATAATTGTAATTCGTCCTTCCATATTTCTCCAACCTAGCCATGTAATATAGAGCTTTCTATACCAATGTTAAAACTTTTCATTTAAAACACTCATTTAACAGAATTGAAATACCTCATTTTTAAAAAGTGCAATGTAGTGGAATGCCATTTGTAATTAAAATTAAAACTTTCTGCAGCAAAGCTCTGTGCTCACGTTAACTTAAAAATCACACAATAAAAACAATGCTGAGTCCAATAACTTCTTATTTTATATCTGGGCTACAGCCATGTACTTAAATAACATTTCCATCTGTTCCAGCCTTTAAGAGTTGCTTGAGTTAAGCATGCTTAAGCAATGACAATCCAGCTCATTAGCACACACTTGAAATCTTCCTTAGTTAGGTCCCAAACCTGGCAATGCTCTCCTTATCACTATCATAGATTGATATGTAAACTAAATGTTTCCATTGAAATCCCTCAATTCTTTTAAAAGTTAATACATTCATAATAATAACTTTTTGTTTTTTGACAGAGTCTTCCTCTGTTGCCCAGGCTGGAATGCAGTGGCGCGATTTCAGTTTACTACCACCTCCGTCTCCCAGGTTCAAAAGATTCTCCTGCCTCAGCCTACTGAGTAGTTGGGATTACAGGCACGTGCCACCACACCCGGCTAATTTTTGTATTTTTAGTAGAGACAGGGTTTCACCATTTTAGTCAGGCTGGTCTCGAACTCCTGACCTCGTAATCTGGCCACCTCAGCCTCCCAAAGTGCTGGGATTACAGGTGTGAGCCACCATGCGTGGCCCATAATAACTTTAAATTTAGAATATCACCTGTTAATCTGAACAATGTAACAGTCATAAAACCTCTCTTAAATATAAAAAATAAAGAAAAGAAAGTCAGACTGTATTGAAATATGACAGAATAAAATGAAAGTAACTTATTATAGATAAACATTGTGGATTTCCTTGAATGTCTAAGACAGTTTATTTCCTTGTGAGGGGTCAGAGTTTGCCACTTTTCTCCTCTCTCCCCCTCTGCATGTTGCCTGGAACAGAGAAGAAACAGGAGGTGATAGTTACTGTGGCTCAAGAGCAGACAGGCTGCAAACTGTTTTTACCTTATGGCTTCTCTCTGTCAGGCAAAGTGCCTCCTGAGTAATAAACATGTAGATGGACTAATTAGATCATAAACTGATGGCAAAGTTCTTCTTATAGTGTGCAGAGGAGCAGGAACTTATACCTGGTTTCCACTGGGAAACTGTGAATAAAAATAAGACATACATACCAATTATGGCATCTATATTAATGGTAATTTAATTTTTAAAATGCTTTAAGTATTTATTTTAGTTTTGGAGGGATTTACCTAAGTCGGGTTCAAAAATTGGCCGTGCACTTGGTAAGGATCATTGCATGTTTTTTCTCGAGGCTGCTCCTGACATCTCTGATTACAAATGATTGTGGGGAAAAGTCCTGTTACATGGGAAAATTAACACCACGTACATTTCGCAATTGTCAATAAAAAAGCCATTAAATCAAAACTGGTGTTAAAACTATCCTGTGTATTTCTATAATATCTGTAACTGCAAATTTGAATCAACAGTAACAAATATAATAGAATAATATATTTACATGAATATTTTGGTGACAGGATAAAATCTTCATTGTCAGTTCCAAGTGATTAGCTGTTCAGATAGTTTAGAAGTAAAATAATTACATCTGGTAATTGAGTTTTTATTTTGTACTTATTACACCATAATTTTAAAGTATAATGTTTAAACAAATGAACAAATATTGAGTAGGCATGTTAAAACGATAAGAAAGAAAGCTTGGATAAACACGAAAACAGGTAAAAAATTTTGAAAAATTATTGAAATTTAATATAGGTAAAGATTCCAAATTGCACGGTATGATATAGATGTAAGCCTTTGTTTTTTGTTGAACTTGATTTTATTATTGTGCATTCTTGTATAATTTTATTCACAAATTTGTTTTAGTTCACAGAATAAACATTATTGTATTACATTGGCTTATTCTAAAATATGTATTCATTTCAATGGTCTTGACTTATTGATAATGTTAAATAAAATTTTGAGAGGCCATTGTTTTGGAGTCAGCTCCTGTGGTAGGTCACAACAGAAAAAAACAAAAATAGAGTCTGTCATGCTAAGTGCCACATAATTAAACTGAAACTTTAAGCAAGCAAGTAAAGCCTCACAGACTATTTTTTCCTGAAAACCGGAGATTCACAGCAACCAATAAGAAAGGGCCCAGCTAACCTGAACCATTATATTATAATAAGAGTCTCCTCTGCTTTAGCTCTTAAAAGGAAAGTAACATAGAGTAAGCTGATGTTAGCCAATCCACTATTTTAAAAAATATATTTTCCTTTTTATTATGTACAAAAACTGTTCTACCATACGCAGTGGAGAATCCATTCTATTTTATAAAATGATACTCTGCCCAGTTCTACAATTGCTAATAAAAGACAATTCGATCTTTACATTAAGTTAGATGCAATTTTATTCTTTGAAAATACATTAGAAAGTATATAAAAATGACTTGTGTAAACAAATGATCATGAATCCAGAAAATTACTCGATTATTTTTAGCTCATCTCCTAAGATGGAGAATATGTATCTTTTTGTCTTCTTTTTCCCCTTCTCTACGTTCTCCACCTCCTTCCTCCTCTTCCTCTTCCTCCTCCTCCTTCTCCTCCTCCTTCTTCTTCTTATTATTATTCTCAAGTAAAAATACATTATTTTCAGTATAGATTAAGAATCTTCATACTAACACGACCTTGTTCCAAAGAAAATGTTAACTATATATAAAATTAAAATAAGAGAGGTTAAACTACACAGCAAAGGAAGCAATCAACAGAGTAAAGATACAACCTGTTGAATGGAAGAAAATATTTGCAAACTTTGTATCTAACAAGGGACTAATATCCAGAATATACAAGAAACTCAAATGACTCAACAGAAAAAAAAATTAAAAGTGGGCAAAAGATATGGATAAGTATTTCTCAAAAAAGACCTACCAATGGCCAACAGGTATATGAAAAAATGTTCAACATCACTAATTATCAAGGAAATGCAAATCAAACTATGGTGAGATGTCATCTTACCTCAGTTAGAATGGCTATGGCTATTATTAAAAAGACAAAAGCTAACAGATGTTAGCAGAATATTTAAAAAAAGGGAACTATACACTGTTGGTGGGAATGTAAATTAGTACAGCCGCTATGAAAAACAGTATGGAGATTTTTCAAAAAACTAAAAATAAAATTACAATATGATCCAGTAATCCCACTACTGGGAACTTTTCTAAAGGAAAAAAACAGTGTATCAAAAAAAAAATACTGTATCTTCATTTTATTGCAGCACTATTTGCAATAGTAAAGATATGGAATCAACCCAAGTGTTCATCAATAGATGAACGAATAAAGAAAATGTGGTATATATATACAATGGAATTATATTCAGCCATAAAAAATGAAATCTTGTCCTTTGAATCAACAATCATAGAATTGGAGGTCATTATGTTGAGTAAGATAAGCCAGGCACAGAAAGACAAATACTATATGTTCTCACTCGTAAGTGGGAGATAAAAAAGTGTCGATCTCATTAAGGTAGAGGGTAGAATGATAGAGTCTGAGAAGAGTGTGTGGGATAGGCATGAAGAGAAATCGGTCAAGGGCACAAACATACAGTTAAATAGAAGGAATAAGTTATACTAGGTTGTGGTAAAAGTTTTTGCGGTTTTTACAATTAAAAGTAATGGCAAAAACCGCAATTACTTTTGCACCAACCAAATATTATTTGATAGCAGAGCAGGATAACTATAGTTAACAACGATGTACTGTACACTTCAAAATAGCTGGAAGAGAGGACTTGAAAGGTTTTCAACAGATATATGATAAATGCTCAAGGTGATGGATACTCTGAATACCCTGACTTCATGATTTCACATTCTATGCATGTACCAAAATATCAAAAGTATCCCATAAATATATATAAATATTATGTATCAATAAAATAAATAATAGGAACAACTGAAATAAAAATACTCTCCCATGTACATGCATTTACTTACATATAGTTATGTCTCCCAAATTACATTTCAGAATGTTTCAATATAATTTCTATTGACTCATTTCCTATTGGAATAAAACCACTAGCCTCTCCCATGATGAATAAGCAAAGACAGATAGGGCACTTGTCTTGTGATGGGAGATGCTGGAGTGATGATCAGGCTGTCCTGATTTTCTCTGAGGAGGCCTTCCTTGACTATGCAGTTATTTGTTCTTTTTGCATTATTGTTCATATTTTGATCTTCTTTTGATTATTTGATAATAGATATTAATTCATTTGAACAAATTAAGATGTCATCATATCTAATGAATATCTTTGATTGAAAACTGCACATAAATAAAAGCCATACAAAAAAGTTAATCATTCATAGCCTACCTTGGAGTGTAACAGATGTTTTAATTAAAATTGACTGTGAGATATATTATCCCGTGGTGTAATTTAATAAATAGTCATTATTACAATAAATTACAATACACATATTTACTTGACCTTTATTGCTTTTTTTGCTTATTGCGATAGAGACTGAATTTGTTTCAATGTCATTGTTTATCATCTTTTGTTAAGAAAATACAGGTTATTCTTTTCTTAACAATGCGCTTTTGCAGTTTTCAGCTTCTCAGAAACTCTGTGATTGCTTTATCTTCCATTTATTTTCACAGTCAGTAAATGTTCAATTATCTTTTTGAGGTTAAAGAAAAAACAAAAGAGACCACTAATGCTAATAATTTTTCTGGAAATATGATAGAAGAAATAATTCTTAACTCTTCATTTCCATTTAAATTTTTATTTCATTGAAACTATAAATGATGCTATTATTTGCAGAATACTTAAGTGTTTTTATTAGAGAGAGAGAGCAAGAGAATAAATCTGTTTGTCAAAGATTTTTTGGTTTTTTTAGAAAATTCATACCAAGCGATGTATTCATTTGGATGGCATTGATAGAAAAACATAAATTGGAGGCAGAGCAAGATGGTGGAATAGAAGGCTCCACTGATCAATCCCTCCAACCAAGGACACAAAATTAACAACGATCTACACAGAAAGGAACACCTTCATGAGCACCGAAAGTCAGATGATCCCTCATAGTACCTGGTTTTGACTTCATATAGCTGAAAGAGACACTGAAGAGATAGAAAAAATGTTCTTGAATCACTGACATGCTCCCCATCCCTTAGCAGTGGCCATGTGGTGCAGGGAGCATCTCTGGGTGCAAAAGGAATGAGAACACAATAATGGTGAAGCATTGAACTCAGTGCTGTCCTGTTAGAACAGAAAGGGAAACCAGACCAAACTCATCTCACAACCATCCATGGAGGGAGCATTTTAAACCAACCCTAGCCACTGGGAATTATAAGTTACTGCGGTTTTTACCATTAAAAGTAATGGCAAAAAATCACCCATCCCAGGGGCTGCAATGTGAGTTCCTGCAAACCTTGCCACTAAGGGCTAAAGGACTCTGGGTCTCTAAGGAAACTTGAAAGGCAGGGTAGGCCAAAAAGAATACAACTCTTAGGCAAGTCTTAGTGGTTAACTGGACCTAGAGAAAATGTACTGGACAAGGAGATGGGGGTGACCTAGTGAGACACAAGCTGGAGTGACTAAGGGAGTGCTGGCTTCGCTCCTGCCCTAACCCATGCTTCACAGCTCATGGCTCCAAGAGAGATCCCTTTCTTCTGCTTGAGAGGAGAAGAAAAAGTAAAGAGGGCTTTGTCTTTCATCCAGAATACCCGTTCAGCCACAGGAGGATAGGGCACTTGTCAGAGTCTTGAAGCCCTCATTCTGGGCCCTAGCTCCTGGATAACATTTCTAGACATACACTGGGCCTGAAGGAAACCCACTGCCTTGAAGGGAAAGACCCAATCCTGGAAGCATACAGCACCTGCTAACTGAAGAGCCCTTGGGCCCTGAAAAACCATCAGCAATACTCAGGTACTATGTTGAGGGCCTTTGGTCAATCTCTGAGTTTTGCTGGCTTCAGATGAGATTCAGCACATTACCAGCTGTGGTAGCCACAGGGCAAGATTCCTTATGCTTGAGAAAAGCAGATGGAAAAGTAAAGAAGACTTTGTCTTGCACCTTAGGTACCAGCAGGGCCACAGGGGTGTAGAGCACCAGGTGTACTCTTGGGGTCCCCAATTCAGGGACTTGACTTTTAGATGGCATTTCTGGACCTGCCCTAGGTCAGAGGGTACTCACTTCCCTGAAGGGTAAGTCTCAGGCCAGGCAGCATTCACCGCAGGCGGTTTTAAGAGCCCCTGAGCCTTAAGAGAACATTGGAGGTAGTCTGGCAGTACTTCTTGTGGACTGTGGTGATGGTGGCTACAGGGTGAGGTTCCTCTGTCTTTGGAAAGAGGAGAGAGGATTGGTAAGGACTGTATCTTGGGGTTTGAGTTCCAACTCTGCATCTTGGGGTTTGAGTTCCATCTCAGCTGCAGTACAATAGAACACCAGATAGACTTTCAAGGTGTTTTACTCAGGTCACTGATTCCTGGATGGTATCTCTGGACCCACCTGGTGTCTGGGGAAACTTAACGCTCAGAAGGGAAGGATACAGACCTGGCTGCCTTTGCCACTTGCTGATTGTAGAAATCCGGGGCCTTGAGTGAGCCTAGGCTGTAGCCAGGGAGTGTTTACAGCAGGCCTTGAGCAAGACCCAGTGCTGTGCTGACTTCAGGTCTCACTCAGTGTTGTTGTAGTGGTAGTGGCCACAGGGGTGCTTGTTTCATTTAACTCCCAGCTATAGGTAGCTCAGAAAAGAGAGAGGGAGAGAGACTCTGCTAGTTTGGGAGAAAGTAGAGGAAGAGAAGAAGTGTCTCTGCTTGGTAATCCAGAGACTTATCTAGGATCTTCTCCAAGACCATCAAGGCAGTACCTCTACAAGTCTGCAGGAACCACAGCGTTACTGGGCTTGGGGTGCCCCCTGAAGCTCTTCAATGTTCAGACACTAAAGAACGTCTAAAATCAACATCATCCAGGAAAGCATGAGCTTGCCTAATAAAGTAAATAAGGAACCAATCCTGGAGAAACAGAGATACGTGACTTTTTAGAGAGACAATTCATAATAGCTGTGCTGAGAAAACTTATAGAAATTCAAGATAACACAGAGGTGGATTTAAGAATTATATCAGATAAAGTTAGTAAAGAGATTAAAATAATTAAAAAGAATCCAACAGAAATTCTGGAGCTGAAAAATGCAATTGGCATACTGAAAAATGCATCAGAGTCTTTTAATAGCAGATATAAAGCAGAAGAAATAATTAGTGAGCTTGAAGACAGGCTAATTGAAAATACACAGTCAGAGGAGAAAAAAGAAAAAACAACAATAATCCTACGGGATCTGAAGAATAGCCTCCAAAGGGCAAATCTAAGAGTTGCTGGCCTTAAAGAGGAGGTAGAGAAAGTGGTAGGCACAAAAAATTTATATAAAGGGATAATAACAGAGAACTTCCCAAACGTAGGGAAAAATGTCAATATCCAAGTTAAAAAAAAAGTTATAGAACACCAAGCAGATTTAACACAAAGAAGACTCTCAGGCATTTAATAATCAAACTCCCAAAGATTAAGGATAAAGAAAGGATCCTGAAAACAGCAAAAGAAAAGAAATAAATAGCACACAATGGAGCTCCAATATGTCTGGTATCAGGCTTTTCAGTGGAAACCTCACAGGCCAGGAGAGAGTGGTATGACATATTTAAAGTGCCAAAGGAAAAAACTGCCCTAGTATAGTATATCTCACAAGAACAGCCTTCAAACATGAAGAAGAAATACTTTACCAGCAAAGGCTGAGGGATTTTCATCAACACCAGACCTGTCCTACGAGAAATGTTAAAGGGACTATTTCAATCAGAAAGAAAAGTACATTAATGAGCAATAAGTAATTACATGAAGGTACAAAACTCACTGGTAATAGTAAGTACACAGAAAAACACAGAATATTATAATACTGTAACAGTTGTGTGTAAACTCTTGTCCTAAGTAGAAAGACTAAAAGATGAACCAATAAAAAATAATAACTACAATGACCTTTCAAAATTTGGAAAGTGCAATAAGATATACATAGAAACAATAAAAATTATGAAGTGATGGATTAAATTAAGGCATAGAATTTGTATTAGTCTTCTTTTTGCCTTTCTGTTTGTTGCTTATGCAAACAGCGTTAAGTGTTAGCTTAAAATAATGGGTTATAAAATAATGTTTGCAAGTCTCATGGTAACCATAAACCAAAAACATGCAACAGAGACACAGAAAACAAAGAGCAAGAAACTAAAACATCACCAGAGAAAGTATAATATTCTGTGTTTTTCTGTGTACTGTTACTATTACTGGCCTTGCAGAATGAGTTTTGAAGTATTCCCTTCTCCTCTATTTTTGGAATAGTTTGATTAGGATTGGTATTTTTTAAATATTTGGTAATATTCAGCAGTTAAGCCATTGGGTCCTAGGCTTTTCTTTGCTAGAAAACTTTTAATTACAGCTTCAATCTTGTTACCCTTTTTTGAAGTTTTCGGGTTTTACATTTCTTTCTCATTCAATTTTGGAAGGTTGTCTAGAAATTTGTCCATTTCTTCTAGATTTTCCAATTTTTTGACATATAGTTTCTCATAGTAGCCACCAATTATCCTTGGAAGTTGAATATCAGTTGCAATGTCTCCTTTTTCATTTCTGATTTTATTTATTTGTATCTTCTCTCTTTTGTTCTTAGTCTAGCTAAAGGTTTGTAAATTTTGCTTAACTTTTCAAAAAATCTACTTTGTGTTTCATTGATCATTGTATTATTTTCTTCATTTCAATTTAATTTATTTCTGATCAAATCTTTATAATTTCTTTTATTATGCTAATTTTGGCTGTGGTTTGCTCTTGCTTTTCTAGTTCTTCAAGATGCATCATTAGGTTGTTTTTTGAAGTTTTTCATCTTTTTTGATGTAGACACTTATAGCTATAAACTTCACTCGTCATACTGCTTTTACTGTATCCCATAAGTTTTGGTATGTTATGTTTTCCTTATTATTTGTTTCAAGAAAGTTTTCAATTTTCTTCTTAATTTCTTTATTGACCCACTGGTCTTTCTGAAGCATATTGTTTAATATTCAAGTATTTATATTGTTTTCAGAATTCCTCTAATTATCAATTCCTAGGGTTTTTTTTCCATTTTGATCAGAGAAGATGCTTGTTATTATTTCCAGTTTTTTTAATGTTTTAAGACTTGTTTTGTGACCTAATATTATTTATCCTTAAGAATAATCCATATGCTGAAGAAAAGTATGTGTATTCTGCCACCACTGGATGAAAAGTTCTGTAAATACCTATTAGATCCGTTTGGTCTATAATGCACATTAAGTCTGATGTTTCTTTGTTGATTTTCTTTCTAGAAGATTTGTCCAATACTGAAAATATGGCGCTGAAGTCTCCAGCTGTTATTGTATTGGGGCCTATCTCTCTTTTCAGCTCTAACACAATATTTGCTTTATATTATCTGGGTGCTCCAATATTGGGTGTATGTATATTTAAAATTGTTATATCCTCTTGTAAAAATTACTTTTTATCATTATATAGTGACCTTATTTGTTTCTCCTTGTATTTTTTTTCTTGATATCTATCTTGTCTGATAAGAGTATAGCTACTCCTCCTCCTTTTTGGTTTCCACTGGCATGGCATATCTATTTCCATCCCATTATTTTCAATCTATGTGCGTCTTTATATGTGACGTTTGTTTCTTACAGAAAACAGATCGATGGATCTTGTTTTTTCATACATTCAGATGAAAACTCTCGTATTTTGATAGGAGAATTAAGTCCATTTACGTTCAATGTTATTATTGGTAAGTAACCACTTACTCCTACCATTTTGCTATTTGTTTTCTGGTTGTTTTTCCTTCCTTCCTTCCTTCCTTCCTTCCTTCCTTCCTTCCTTCCTTCCTTCTCTCTCTCTCTTTTCTTCTTTCTGTGAAGGTTATTTTCTCGGTGATATGTTTTAATTTCTTGCTTTTTATTTTATTTTATTTCTGTGTTTCTATTGCATGTTTTTGGTTTGTGGTTACCATGAAACTTGCAAATATTATTTTATAACCCATTATTTTAAGCTAACACTTAACAGTGTTTGCGTAAGCAACAAACAGAAGGGCAGAAAGACTAATACAAATTCTATGCCTTAACTTAATATCATCACTTCATAACTTTTTATTGCTTCTATGTATATATTATTATACTGTCCAAATCTTGAAAAGTCACTGTAGTTATTATTTTTATTGGTTCATCTTTTAATCTTTCTATTTAGAATAAGAGTTTACACATAACAGTTACAAAATACTAGGAAACCAAATTCAGTCATACATTAGAAAGATCATTCATCATGACCAAGTGGGACTTATCCCTGGGATGCAAGGAGGGTTTAACATATGTGAATCAATCAATGTGATATATCAATCAACAGAATGAAGGCTAAAAATCCTATGATTGTTTCAATTGATGCTGAAAAGGCATTGATAGAATTTAGCATCTTTTCATGATAAAAAACCCTCAAAAAACTGGGGATAGAAGGAATATACCGCAACATAAAAAGCCATATATGACAAACCCACAGCTAGTATTAAAATGAATGGGGAAAAACTGAAAGCCTTTTCTCTAAGCTTTGGAACATGACAAGGACGCCCACTTCCACCACTGTCATTCAACATAGTACTGTATATCCTAACTAGAACAATCACACAAAAGCAAAAAATAAAGGGCATCAAAATTGGAAAGGAAGAAGTCAAACTATACTTGTTTTCAGATGATATGATCTTATATTTGGAAACACCTAAAGACTCCAAAAGAAAACTATTAGGACTGATAAATTTAGTAAAGTTGCAGGATAAAAAAATCAACATAAAAATCAGTAACATGTCTATATCCCAACAGTGAATATTCTGAAAAATAATATTTTAAAATTCCATTTACTATGTGCACAAATAAAAGTAAATACAAAGAATTGACCACAGAAGTGAAAGATGTTTATAATGGAAACTATAAAACATTCATGAAAGAAATTGAAGACGGCACCAAGATATGAAAAATAAACATTTCATTTTCATGTATTGGAGGAATTAATATTGTTAAAATGTTCATACTACCCAAAGCAATCTACAAATTGAATACAATTCCTATTAAAAAACCAATGATATTCTTCACTGAAATATAATAAAACAATTCTAAAATTCATACAGAACCACAAAAGCCCAGGAATAGCAAAGCTATCCTAAGAAAAAAGAAAAAGAAAAAGAAAAAAAAAAAAACGGGAGGAATCACGTTATCTGACTTCACATTATACTACAGAGCTAGAACAACCAAAACAGCAGAGTACTGGCATAAAAACAGACACACAGACCAATGGAACAAAATATAGAACCCAGAAACAAAGCCACACACCTCTGGAGAACTCTTTTTCAACAAAGGTGCGAAGAACACACACTGGGGAAAAGACGGTCTCTTCAATAAATGGTGCTGAGAAAACTGGATAGTCATATGCAGAAGAATGAAACTAGAACTCTATCTCTTACCATATACAAAAATCAAAGCAAAATGATTAAAGACTTACATCTAAGACTTCGAACTATTGAACTACTACACAAAAAGTTTGGGGAAAATCTCCAGGACATTGGTCTGGGCAAAAATTCATTGAGCAAAACCACACAAGAACAGGCAACCAAAGCAAATACGGGCAAATGGGATCACACCAAGTTACAAAGCTTCCCATACTTACCCCACTTATTATATATACATCACTGATTATTTGGGTTAAACTGGACTCATTTCAGGCAGTTTGCCTTTGTTCAAATACGTGATGAGAAACTTAATACTCTAATTTGATTTGAGCCATAAAACACATTTTAATATTAGCTTGTATTATATTTATTAAGCTTGTTTTTGTGGAAAAAAACCTTACTAAAACCTGGATAAGTCTAGAGTAAGCCAGTTTAGGTGTATTTTGTATTTAGTGGTGGATTGTATCGTAAAAATAGAGATAAGTTGGGAAGATATATTGATTATGCTGTCCTGTTGAGGAAAAGGTCAGTGTATTTGGAAATTTAAATTTTGGTTATTGTGTTCATATCATAGTATACAAGCATCATTTAAAGTTTGACTTTGAGAACTTTTCTGGTATTAAGTTTATGGAAAATGTATAAAAGAAATGGAAGTTTTGATTATATTTTTATATTTGTAAAGTAAAAATTTGGTTAAAATGGTCACTGTTCTTTATTTTATTGTCATTTCAATAAAAATATTTGGAAAAGAAAAAAATCTTCTGCATAACTAAGGATACAATAAACAAAGTGAAGAGACAGCCCACAGAATGGGAAAAAAATATTTGCAACCTAGCCATCTGACAAAAGATTAATAACCAGAATATACAAGGAGCTCAATGAACTGTGTTGGAAAAAAATTCTAATAATCTGATCAAAAAGTGGGCAAAATATTTGAACAGACATTTCTCAAAAGAAGACAAACAAATGGCAAACAAGTGCATAAAATGTACTTAACATCATTGATCATCAGACAAATGCAAATTAAAACTACAGTGAGACTTCCTCTCACCCCAGGTAAAATGGTTTATATCCAAAAGATAGAGAATAACAAATGCTGTCAAGGATATGGAGAAAAGGGAACCCTCATACACTGTTGGTATGAATGTAAATTAGTACAACCACTATGCAGAACAATTTGGAGGTTCTTCAAAAAACTAGAAATTAAGCTACCATATGATCCAGCAATCCCACAGTTGGGTATATAACCCACAAAAAGAAAATCAGTATACTGAAGAGATATCTGCACATGCATGTTGCAGCACTGCTCATAATACATAGGCTTTGGAAGCAACCTAAGTATCTATCAACAGATGATGAAGAAAATGTGGTACATATACATAATAGAATGCTATTTAGCCATAAAATAATTAGATTCTGTTATCTTCAACAGCATATGCATTCTATGAATTGTTCACTTCTATGCATTTTGTTAGCAAGTCAGGCAGAATGTAGATAGGCAAATATCATAAACATGTATTTTCACCTTTTTTCTTTAAGAGATTCTTATGCAATTATCTCCTCCATCTGTAAGAGAGTTTGAGGAAATGACTACTATTAAATAGGCCTATGGCTAACACAAATAAGGAAGATGAAGAGAAAGGACATTGACTAGGCAGTTAGGGTAATTTCCTTCTTTGTATCAACATTTCTGATGTTTCTTTTGTAAGCAACAATGGTCATTCATAAAGAGTTGAAATTGAGAAAATAATAATAATTTAGTCATTTTTAGGGAATCTTCAAAGACATATCATAATTATTTATTTCTTATACAACTTGTATGTTATCTAAATGCATGTATTTTAATAAAATTACATGATTCTCCTATTCATATATCTACTATTACCACTAAATTCTTGGTGAAGTTGAATGTCTTTAATGTCTTTGATACTATCACAGCATGCTGTTTTTATAAATAAAGCCAGATAATTAAGAGAGTTGGGGGATTTCCAAGGTAGCTGGCTTGAATATACAGAAAGCTCACACAGTTTCTCGAAATGATCAAGCATTTGAAACTGTTTCTCAGCCAAGATGCAAACAAAGGGTGATAATTAATGGCCATTTAATTTTTCATATCACATTTTACAGAATATACTTAGTGACAGAATATGGGAACATGTGTTTGGCCTGAAGATATGTGTTCCCATAATGAAATTTATTAATATTTTTTCTTTACCTAATTTGTAATTTATGGTATGTATATAACTTGTATCTTAATTTTGGGGTCACTGTTAAACATTACTGTTCTAATAAATAAAATCTGGTTTAATTAATGGTCTCAAGTTTGTGGAGAATTCCACAAAATCAATTTCCTTGGTAGATTTTGGAAACAGATCGAGCACAGAACGTATTGAGAGTTAGGGGCTTTTTTTTTTTTCTTTTGGTGATGTATGTATCAGATCTTTCCATGGGTATAATAATTTCATTTTTACAGCTATGCTGCCTACTTTTTAAATCCCTGATTATTCTTAATAACTCTTTAGTGCTACTTAATGACCTGACACTACCCTGATAAACATGTCTATGAAATTTACAGTAGAAAATGTATAGTAAATAGGAATTTTTCTATAAAATATAACTTCCAGTAGTAAAGGCTGAATTCTAGTCACTTTTTCTTGTCTATTTTCAATTAAAACTGTTAAATTTTAAATGAATAATATAATTCTGTGATTGAAAAAAATATAAATGGGAATCCCTGGAGCCACATGGCACAAAGTATTACTTAATGATTAAGTTATTTTCTCAGGAAAAGAACATTTTGCAAGCTATCCTTTTTTATTGTTTTCTTTTTCAGAGGAAGGAGTACAGAGTGAAAGTATAGCAGGCTTTCAAATTAATGTAATTCTACAAAAATTTTAATAAGTCACAATATGAATAACAGTAAATATGTGAATCAGAAGAAGATTTTTATAGTTGTGTTCATTATCTATAGTTATTTAAAACTTCGACAGAAAAGAGCTACTATGTATATTTGAAAGTTTGCAATTAATTTTCTGAAAAGGGATGACTTTTATTGTAGAGTGTTAAACAGGATTGCCCAAAGCTTTCTGTATATACCATTTTATTGTCATCATCTAATGCAAGTTTTGGCCTATTATACTGTATTGCCTACCAGAAGAGGTAAGTGATTATGACTTATGAGAACCAAAAAACTTAGTTTAAACATCTGTTGATAGTCTAGTTTTAGTAGTCCTATTAAAAAATATTACTCATAGTTTTAAAACCTGTGGACACTTAGGGTCTGATTTTGTTTGTTTCACCAGGCACTAAAACTACCAGATCAAGTAAGTTATGTATCATCAAAACCAATTCATCCATATTCTCCAGATTAGATTTAATGAGTAAGTTGGAAGTCCACCAAAAGATATGATGTTTTAGTCACATTTTTAGTGTGAATGTCAGAAAATTGGCTCTAAATTTAAAGATTATTTCTGGATTTTTATATAAGGAAAGAGTATATAAACTCCATCCCAAGAGGAAATCCTCTCAAATTAATTAGCATATCCATATGGGTTTAGTTTGGTCTTAACATTTGACTTTTTGTATTTGTGGAATTAGTTTTAAACATGCATAGCATAAAATCCTACAACTTGGGATTTTGAAACATTAGTATTTGTATGTAATATCTGGCAGAGAAAAAATGTCTGTGTTAAAAGATAGAATAAACTTCATAAATTGTAAGAAAATTCCTCCTCACCCCAACATTGAATCCAT
Source organism: Homo sapiens (assembly GCF_000001405.40). Taxonomy (NCBI): domain Eukaryota; kingdom Metazoa; phylum Chordata; class Mammalia; order Primates; family Hominidae; genus Homo; species Homo sapiens. The sequence goes on from NC_000005.10 coordinate 23,000,710, forward strand.
AATAAAGAAAACTGTATTTACTAATGGAATACTGTGAGTTATTTTTCAAGTATTTTTTATCTGTCAATTATTATATCCACTTTTCAGTCATGGGTTAGTTATATAACCGATCCCCTAGGGCAAAATGTCTTCTTTTTTTGCTATTTCCAAATAAACATATTCTTGTTAAGATTTCTAAATGCCCAAAAGCATTTTTATAGTTCCATCACTTGAAAACAGAATATTTTGGGTTGATGGGTGCTGCAAACCACCATGGCATGTGTATACCTATGTAACAAAACTGCATGTTCTGCACATGTATCCCAGAACTTAAAGTTAAAACAAAAACAAACCCAGAATATTTCTGCGGTTGAGTTATTTTGATTTTGGTTTGTTGGCTTATAAAGGCTAGAATCTGACATCATCTTTCTTCATTTAGAGATTGATAGGTCATAGCTAGCTAGCTAAGCTAGATATATTAAAATAGATTTTAATTGAATGACATGCAATTTTCTTTGATATCAGAACATAAAGATTATAATCAGTTTCTTAAAAACAGACACTGTTCAATCTTGCATGTTGTTCTGTCTAGATTACATAGTAAAGTGCCTGAAACACCATAGGCAGTAATTACATGTTGCATCGTGTAATAGCATTTTGAATTGGATTATTCTCTCGCTTCAGAAAGAGCCACTACGTATGTCAGGAGAAGCTGAGGTAAAAATAAATAAGGCACATATAAACAAAAAATGGTTTTAAAATTCATCCTTCATTTCTTATACTTAATTTGTGAATTTGTACAGATTATTTTCATGTTGATTTGCATTTTGGTCATTTTTGTCAGAATGATGGAAAACAAATCGCCTATCTCTTACACAAAATGTCTCCCTCCGAGGGAAGAAAGAGAGCCCTTCAAAGGCTATTTGAATTTGTTTTAACTGTTACTCGGTCTCAATAAGAAGTGAGTTGATTTAGTTCAAAAAGCTTGAAAGGTGTTAATTTTCTGTAATTATATTAAGGTCATTTTACCTTTTACCTCATGATAGCTTTACCAAATTACACATTACATAGATATAATGTTGGAGATGCTGAAAGAAAAATATATAAAGTTGATTGATAGAGAAGCAGACTTCAATTAGGATAGCACTGGAATTACGAAATGTAGAAAAAGCAAAGAGCCAAAGAGTGTGAAGCAAAGAACTCATTGTTGATGCAGTTATGGTATTGCTGCAAATTACTGATGTCTGAAATATAATGAAACATATAGGTAGGAAGATTGGATATTTCTGAGTCAGAAAGACACACACTCAAATTGCATTCAATAAAAGTTATGTCAACCAAGACATTTAGTCCATACTGGAGAGACCAGAGATAAAATATCGAACACATGTCTAGTAATGTTTCTGTTCATTTGCAGTTACCAAAGTTATCCAGGAGTATAAGTACATTTTTACAAATTCCTTGTTATTTTGAATTATATCTCTCTGATGGAATCTTTTCATAAAATATACCTTATACCTACCCATTTTTACCACACAAATATGATAAATTATCATATTTTTTAAAATCAGGGGTTGAAATAATTTTACTAGTGAAAGAGTAAAATGTATGTTGAAGAAGGATCTAATTTAATAGCCTAAGGAAACTACAAAGAAAATAGGAACTCCTTTGTCTTCACTTCCACCACAAGTTCATTCACTGTTGCATGACCAGTAAATCAGAGGAGTCCCTAATTCCCCATTTAATCAGAGATTCTAGAAAACAAACCTTGAAAAAAACAAAGCCCAATATCATAGAACTCTGATTTACTTTGCCTTGCAAAGAAAAAAAAAATGATTTTACATTTGGTATCATCCAATGGAGCCTTGGTCTGTGCTTATTTACAAGATATGCTCTGTATTTTCAATTTAGCCACTTAAAAGCAAAGAAACCTACAGAAAACCAGTCTTTCCTTTGGACTCACTAGAGGCAGAGTGCAAGTTCTGGGTGACTAATGCAGATAAGAAAGTCAACTCTTCATTTTATCTATGATGCCAATTTCAAAGAATTAGGGCTTGTGGGAATTCACAAATATTATTAAAAGAAGGTGAGTTTGCCCTGGGTTTACTTTATGGACAGAACCCCCAGGTTATATATATATAAAGCAGTAATGTAGGTTGGAAGCAAACTATATCTTCTTTGTATCAATTGGACAGCTGAGGAATAAACATCGTAAATTATTTCCCATAGCTCACTTGATACAGGTGAGAATCTCTAATTCTCCTCCACAGGAAAAAAAATTATTACATTTCTACTTATTTTACCCTCTCCCAAAAAGATACATCAAAATTCTTTTATAAAGTTGAAATGTTTTTGCTTTTTGCTCACTCACTGCTAAATAACCTCCTAACTTATGATAGTCCAACTTACAATTTTTTTGACTTTACAATGGTTCAAAAATACTTCAGTATGGTATTCAACAAATTACATGAGGTATTCAACACTTAAAGTTAATACAGGCTTTTTCTTAGATAATTTTTCCCAACTGTAAGCTAATTTAAGTACTCTGGGCACATTTAAGGTGGGTTAGACTAAACCATGATGATGTTTGGTCTATTAAAAGGCATTTTCATCTTATCATAATTTTAACTTACAATGGGTTTATTAGGATATAGTCTCTTCATAAAGACAGGAACATCTGTATATACTGAGGGCTCATTTATTTAAGTACACATTGCTGGTGTTGTTAAGTCCATGTTAAAGATTGGAAGTTGGAAAATGAGAAAATATGCTGACTAGCGGCACAGAAATTATTGTTCACCTTCCTGTCCTAGGAAAACTATTCTTCCACTAAAATTATGTATTTCAGCCAAGTTAGCTCTTAAATATTGGAATATGAAGTGTTATTTGTTTTACAGAAATCTTTTGTTGGTAAATATATTGGATACCTTTCACAGAGTTCCTCAGATTCGTTTAGCTTTACCTGGCTTCACAATCGTCAGCTTTCTGTTCAACTCTGGCAGCTGCTGCAGTCAACCAATTGAGTACCCGAGACTGAACAATCTCCAAAGCGGCCTTCCATCTCTAGCCACTTACAGACTCAGTGAAAGGATGTGTAGCAGGGCATGGTATTTGCTTCTAGTGAACTGCCAAATGGGCTCAGAACCATAGAGCGTTAACTCGCTTATGGGACAAACTTTAAATAATTTGGCATTGGGGATAAGAAGAAACGTGCAAATGAACAATCTTTTCTTTCCTCCGTATGTAGAGCTGCTTCAAGGCATGGTTTTCTCATATAGTCTGTCTTGACAAATTCTAATGGCCAAGAAGGTGGAAGAGCCAAGTAAAGCCCTTATCTTTCCAAGGCTCAGCATGAAATAGCCGTTAGCGCAGTAACACATTACCTTGTACTTCTCTTTTCAGCCTAGCCTGCCTCATGCCCTTTTCTCTTCTTTCTGCTTTACTGGGATTATACTTCACTAATCTAGTAGTATTTCTGATTCCTAATCCCAGCGTCTATTTTCTAGAGTAGTTCGTATAAAATAACATATAGACCCTGAATCTGAGAAATCATGAAATCTGGGACTTCGTCTAAACGATCTGTGGGTATAAAACATTTGTATTATGTCATGGAAGGCTATGCCTGTCCTCAATAAAATGTTTCTTAGTTCTGCCATTTCTCATCACTAGGCTTGACTAATAAAATCAAGAATCGCATATTTATTCACCAAACATTTATTGAGCACCAGTGTGTCCCATTCAGAATGCCAGATATTGCGGCACAAATGTGGAGAAGATATGGCCCCCCAAATCCAATGTTATGCCTCATATATATAATCAAGTACAAAAACAAACAACGGCACCAATTTTTACCAAAGTTGTATTTTGTTTTTAATCAAATCGAGTCTTCATTTTAATGACTGAATGCGTATTATGAAATGTATACTTTGCTGAACTCACCTTGAATTTGTTCAAACACATCTAAAATAGGTTAGAATATTTTTGTTTTTGGAAACTGAGGAGCTAGAGACTAAGAAATGTTATTACTTATCACAGGTCACACTGATGAAAAGAAGCAACACATGCAAATCTCCGACCACAAACCCACCTTCTTTCTACAGCAGCTCCTTCTTTTTTACCCTACTTATGATGTTCTCACTTAGAACTTCCGCTAAACTGTCAATTCTTAGAACACTGCACTCCCTATGTTTCAGCTACAGATAAATACACCTCACTGTTCAAAATTGAAGCAGAATGCTGTAGTGCATAAGACCATACCTCATCTTGGACATTTCAAATATCTGAGATCAAATTCTGGCTATACAGTTTTGTCAAATCCCTAACTTTTATGGATTTCAGTTCATACAACTTTATAATTATAATGATATCTTTACTCACTCCCCAAATATTAACTGACTCCCTCCTACCCCCCAGTATGTTTCCTGACACTGGGAATGCAGAATGAACAGAGCGTAACACGTTCCTGACCTCACGAAGCTATATCAAAAGGGATAAATAAATAGATAACAGTAAACTAATAAAATGTTAATGTAATTTCAGTAAAGTTATTTGTTGTCAAAGATATACAAAAAAAGGAATAAAAAATGGTTTCCAAAAGTTTAATTGTGATGAGTAAGAGTGTAGCATTGCCATTCATGAAGGTAGATAATCAAGAGGAGAAAACGGGTTTCAGGAAGGACAACTGATACTTTCTATTTTGTACGTGTTAGATATGAAGTACCTTTCTCCCATTCCTTTCAGTGGTTGCTTCTCCCCACTGCCTGAGTCAGCCGAGATTGCACTAATGCTGGGAATAACTTCCTTGATTTGTAAGTACTTTCTTTTTTCCCCCCTGTACATTCTCGTAGCACCCTCTAATTTGTCTTTCATAGCATTTCCAAATTTTAGTGTGATTATGTTTTTCATATCTGCATTTCCTAGCAAATTGAGATTCTATTGGAGGTTGGTGGGGGGCTACTCACATCTATATTATTAACATATTTATAACTGTGACAGCACTTAGTAGACATTTAAAAATATTTAATAAAGTCCAAGTGACGTTCGCCATTAGAATTCTTATAGTCAATTCGTGATCATCACAAATACCTTGGTCCATTTTTGCAGTGGCCCTCAGCTCAGTTCCAGAGTTGTTTAGTTACATTTAGAGTAAATCTTGATTATCCAATTCTGATCCTTAACATACTTTTGTGAAAATTACTTCTAAGTTGAGTTATGTGATCTGCAACAAACAGCTATCACAGTGTTTTAGCACAAGAGATGGATTCAACAAGTATTAATTGAATGAAAAAAGAAGCAAAGCAGTATGTACCTGCCTTAAACTTCCATTGGTAAGATACAGCGTACCTCATATTTTCTTTGTCCCTTCCAAACAAATCAGTATTCCTACCCCTAAGTGATTCATATAATATATCATCTTAACATCAGCTACTGGTTTAACAATTCTTTCCATAGGCTCAAAATTCAGATGATCCACTGAGGTCAAGAGACTTGCATTTTCTAGCTATGAATATACAACTTCTAAAACTTGTGCAGTGTTAATGTCAAACCAAGGACCACAGAACTCTAGAGATTCATGCATACAATCTGGAATTTAAAACTTTTTATGTGATTTTGAATGTTTATATTTCCATTTTAATAATTTCTAAAATTAGCATTGGATTTTTTTCTGGAATTAAAAAAGAGCACTGGGACAGTGCAGTGGCTCATGCCTGTAATTCCAGCACTTTGGGAAGCCAAGGTGGGAGAATCACTTGAGTTCAGGAGTTTGAGACAAGCCTGGGCAACACAGTGAGACCCTGTCTCTATACAAAAAAAAAAAAAAAAAAAAAAAAGAGACCCTGTCTCTGAAAAAAAATTAAAAATTAGCTAGGCACGGTAATATGTGCCTGTGGTCCTAGCTACTCAGGAGGCTGAGGTGGGAGGATGGTTTGAGCCTGGGAGTTCAAGGCTGCAATGAGCCATGATCGTCAGGCCACCACACTTCAGCCTGAGCCACAGAGGAGACCCTGTCTCCAAAAAAAAAAAAAAAAAGAAAGAAAGAAAAAAAAAGGCGTTGACTCAAAAGTGCCCATTTGTGATTGCATCTTGCATTTGCAATCACTGTATCACCAGTAGCCTATGGTAATTGTAGAAAGACGACAGAAAAATAACAGAAGATGGCAGACTTCATATACACCAATTGGCAAGTAAAGACTACTGAAGAAAGAGGTCACTGCTCAGGATCTGGGGTGGTGGACAGTAGCCTAAAATTATTTTTACTAAAAAGAATCTGTGCTTGTAAGCCATTTTTCTGAACAAAATCCTGATCCTTTATAAAGTTTTTGAGACTTGCAGTTCAGAGATAAGTAGTTTTTCAGCAATAGGTCTTAACATTGGTTGACCTTAGCAGAAGAAATACTGTCATATGCCTCATAACAATGTTTTGGTCAACATCGAACTACATATACGGTAGTGGTCCCATAAGATTATGTTATATTTTCACTGTACCTTTTCTATGTTCAGATACACAAATACTCACCATTGTGTTACAATTGTCTACAGTATTCAGTACAGTAACTTGCAGTACTGGTTTGTTGCCTAGGAGCAATATACTATTTCATATAACCTAGGTGTGTAGGAGGCCCTGGCATCCAGGTTTGTTTAAGTACATTTTATGTTCACACAATACCAAAATTGCCTAACGATGCATTTCTCAGAATGTTTCCCCATCCTTAAGTGAGGCATGGCTGTATGTTTATTGGAGTGAGGCTGTTGCTGCTTGGCTGGCTTTCCTGAGTGTCTGTCACTTGTTGGCCAGCTTTCAGAGGTATGTGTGGGGAAAGCTGTCAGTGATTGGTTAGAATTAGTTTATTACCAGTGCTAAGGGTTAGTTGTTGCTATGAGAACTGAACAATCAGTCATTTACAATCTTGAATTGGAGCATAAAAGCATTTCTTTTTCTCATCAGCCCTATTTTTCCTCCTAGCATCAGGGATAGGTTGTCATTGTTGTTATCAACTCTCCTTTAAGTTGATGTCCCATTTGCGGTTGATTTTCAGACTAAATGTTGATAAACAAACTTTTATTACATTATTATTATTATTACTATTATTATTAATTAGTTGTTGACTCTTCTGGCAGGGCAATGCCTACAGCCTTGAAGGCTTTGTACAAAAGATGTTTAAAAGCTGTGAGTTACCACAGTGATTCTTCACATTATAAGAAGAAACTGAAAAGTTCTTGGAACCAATGCTTCAAGATTGCCCAGGCTTAACAATGAAGAAACACCCTAGTTCCTGCCTGAGGCTATTTTACGTAGCCAGGTTACTTCTGTTTCAGTTCAGATATGAGTTGATTGTTCCCCTCTTCTAGGGTATTAGTCCAGGAACCATAAGAAGTTCAGCAAGATTATCCTATAATTATTTAAGCTAAGGAATTTTAATCAGTTTTTGTGTCCCTAGAGAAGTAGGTGTAGTAATTACTCTCTCAAACAAAGAGAGTAATTTTTGAAGAATACCTGAGTTTCCCAAATCCTGTTAATGAGATATCTTTTTTTCTCAGAGTTTTGTCCCATCAGTTAACATGTATGCCTCCAGGATGTATTTAATCTTCCAAATTATTTGTAAAGAAACACGATCTTCTCAAGGAGTGTGAGATGCATACATTTTACGTAACTTAACTATTAACTCCATAGAATAAGTTCTCATGGCCTGGAATTGGCAGTGGTGAACAAAAGAGAAAGGAGCTCAGGAGGTATAAAAAGTAAATGGAGCAATCAATGTATTTATTCTGGGTGCTATTGTAAGGACACAGTCACTATTACATTTAAACACACTGGTAGCCCCCTCTTCTAGAGCAAGGACATTGCCATGGTTTGAATGTGTCCTCTCAAAACATTAGATGTTGACAGAGTAATGATGTTGAGAGAGAGATGGGACCTTTGGGAATTGGTTGGGTCATGAAGGCTCCTCCCACTATGAATGGCATTAGAGCTTTTATGAAGTACGCTTCATGCGATGTTTGGTTGCCTTGCCCTTCTGCCTTCTCCCATGTGAGAACACATTATTCCCGCTTCTGGAGGATGCAGCCCTCACCAGACAGCTGAACCTGAAGCTGTCTTGATCTTAAACTTCCCAACCTCTAGAACTGTGAGAAAGTAAACTCCTATTCTTAGTAAATTGCCCAGTTTGTGGTATTCTGTTGTAGCAGCACAAAGTAGACTAAGACTTCATCTTTATATTTATGTTTTCTAAAAAGAACATTACTTTGATATTGCCCATCCCCAGGTTGCAAAGATTTTCTCTTTTTTTTCTTTTACTTCTATAAGTTTTATACACATAAGATTTGAATTTTGGTGTACAATCCAGTTTGAGTTTACTTTTGGGTAAGGTCTGTGGTACAGATCAATATTTATTTTCTTCATAATTTATCAGTTTTTTCCAGCACTATATGTTGAAATGGTTTTTCTTTTGTCATCATCCTCTCTTGGCACTCTTGCCAAAAATCAACTGGCCATATACTTGTGAGTCTATTTCTGAACTCTACTTCCTTCCATTGACCTGGATATCTATTCTTTCACCAATAACACAGTGTCTCAATGTCTGCAATTCTGTGTTAAAATTAAGTACTGTAAATTCTCCAGATTTATTCTTGATTTTTAAGTTTATTTCAGTTATTCTAGCTGATTTTCTGGAAAAAAATCCTGGAACTTTGATTGAGATTTTATTTAAACAATAAACAATTTGTTAAGAATCGATATATGAACAATATTTTTCAATTCAACAGCATGTTATATATCTCCATTTATTTAAGTTGTCTTTTATTGTGTTCGTTGTGGGCATATGGTTTTATTGTGTTCATTGTGGGCATCTCATAAAGAGATGTTATGTCTCATCAAATTTATTTTTAAATAATTTGTGTTTTTGGTATTTTGTAATGGAAACATCTATCTGTTTTTATAGATGGAGTCTCACTCTGCTGTCCAGGCTAGAGTGCAGTGGTGCAGGGAACTCACTGCAGCTTCGAACTCCTGTGCTCAAGTGATCCTCTTTCCTCTGCCTCCTGAGTAGCTAGGACTATAGGCACATGTCCTCACAATAATTCTCTGCTTTTTTCTTTGTAGAAATGTAGTCTTGCTATGCTGTCCATGCTGGTCTTGAACTCCTGACCTCAAGCAATCCTCCCACCTTGGCCTCCCAAAGCATTGAGATTATGGGCATGGACCACAGTGCCTGGCTGTAAATGGAATTTTCAAAATTTCTTTTCCAATTGTTTCTTGCTAGTGTATAAGTATGTAGTTAATTTTTATACATTAGTCTTTCATTCTATGACTTTGCTTTCTGAACATATTAGTTCAAGTATCTATTTTTTGGTTTCTTTGGAATTTTCAACATTCATGCCATTTGAAAATATTATTTTCTCTTCTTTCTCTCTCTCTCTCTCTTTTTCTTTCCATTTACATTTTTTATTTCTTTGAGTGAAAACTTCTGAGCGTAAAATTCTGATGGTAGATTTTGCTAGCAAATAAAAATTTTTTAATATATAAAATATTCAGATTTTTTAATATTCTGTTGATAAAATAATTTATATTTTTCAGGTAGCTTCACCATTTATCTCTAAGTTGTCAAAGTTGTTTTTAAAAAGGTGATTATAATATTCTCTTTTCTCCTTTTCAATTTCTGTAGCACCTGTAGTAAAAACCCCTTTAGCATTTCTCATGTTAGTGGTTTTTTTGGTCTCTTTTTCTCTTGATCAGTCTAGCTAAGGTTTATAGTTTTTGCCGATACTTTTGAACAATCAAATTTTGGATTTATTAGTGTTCTTATTGTTTATCTATTTTATCTTTATTGTTTATACTACCATCCAAATATTTATTATATTTTTCCTCTTTGTTTTTAGAGTATTAGGTCATTGACAATAGCTGGTTCTTATTTTTTTATTTTTATTTATTTGTTTGACATGGAGTCTCACTCTGTCACCAGGCTGGAGTGCAGTGGCATGATCTCAGCTTGCTGCAACTTCTGACTCCCTGGTTCAAGCAATTCTCCTGCCTCAGCCTTGTGAGTAGCTGGGATTACAGGCACGTGTCACCACGCCCAGCTAATTTTTGTATTTTTAGTAGAGATGGGGTTTCACCAGTTGTCCAGTATGGTCTCAATCTCCTGACCTCGTGATCCTCCCACCTTGGCCTCCCAAAGTGCTGGGACTAGAGGCATAAGCCATCACCCTGGCCTTCTTTTTTATCTTTAATAATAAAGTTAATTTTTTCCTCTAGGAACTACTTTAACTAAATATTTCACATTTTTATATATTTTATTTTCATTTAACTTAGCTTTTGTATAATATCCTTTGTGTTGCCTTCTGTGATTCAGGAACTCCTTAGAAATGTTTGATTTAATTTCCAAAAATTTAGGGATTTCTCACGTATTTTATGGTCTTTAAGATATAGCAAATATTGCACAACTATTATGTATGCATAAAAACTAAACATAAAAAGTTAAAAACAAATATATTTTAAAAATATATAGCATTAGAAACTACTTAAATGGAAGCCAAAGAAAAATAATTTAAAATATGGACAGAGAATTAGTAAACTGTCAGATAACTTTAATGAAGGTAATATATGTATAATCAGATCCTCTAAAACAAAAGGGGATTATTTGAAGAAATAATGGCTAAAAACCTTCCAAATATATAAACTATAAAAACACAGCTCAAATGATCTTAAGAACTCCATGTAATAAAACATGAAGAAAATGACTAATATAGACCTATTAAAAGATAACTTAAAAGACTGTTCATACAAAACGTTGATGAGCATGTGGAAGAACTGTAACTTTTATATGCTAATGTTGGATACAACCACTTTGGAATACAGTTAGACAGTTTCTTAAAATGTGAAACATAAACCTCTCCTATTACCAGCTATTCATAGTATTTATCCAAAAGTAATAGAAGCACATGTCTGACCAAAACCTTGTACAAAAACAGTGATAGCAGCTCAATTGGTAATAACCCAAAGTGTAAACAACCCAAATGTCAATCATTAGATGAATGAATAGGCCAGGCGCTGTGACTCACGCCTGTAATCCCAGCACTTTGGGAGGCCGAGGCGGGCAGATCACGAGGTCAGGAGATGGAGTCCATCCCGGCTAACACAGTGAAACCCCGTCTCTACTAAAAATACAAAAAGTTAGCAGGGAGTGATGCGGACGCGTGTAGTCCCAGCTACTCGGGAGGCTGAGGCAGGAGAATGGTGTGAACCCGGGAGGTGGAGCTTGCAGTGAGCCGAGATCGCGCCACTGCACTCCAGCCTGGGTGACAGAGGGAGACTCCGTCTCAAAAAAAAAAAAAAAAAAAAAGATAAATGAATAAACAAATTCTGTTCTATCCACCTAATGAAATAAAATTAAATTAAGCAATTTAAAAAATGAACGAACCATTGGTGAACAGAGAAACTTATAAGATTTCAAAATAAATATGCCAAGCAAAGAGAGAAATAATAAGTAATGAAATTTTAGCAAGAACTTTATCTCATCTGACTTTTGGAAAAAAAATTCCAAAGCATGTGTGCTTCGTTTTATTCTTCTAGTCTCTTTTCCTCTCAGAATTCATCTAAGTGGCTCTCTAAAGTCCTAGCTTACTTACTATTTAAAATAAACCACAATATACTGTATGCTACTTTGATTTATTCTAAATACTTCATAACACATTCTCTATAATTATTATAAAATCCCTTCAAGCTATCTATTATAAAATTCATTTAGATGAGTGGAATCAGATGTCCAGATCTGTGTTTATGTGTATATGTGTGTGTGTGTGTGTGTGTTTGTGTGTGTGTGTATGTGGGGGAGAGACTATTCTCTCCTTCCTTGCTTCCCTCTTTTCATCTCTTCTCCTGTCTTTTATTTTCTTCCTTCCTCCCTTTCTCTCTCCTTTCCTTCCTTCCTTCCTACTTTTTTCTTCATGAATATATATAGTGCTTGTACCAAAACTGTGCATGGTGCTTCTGGTAGAGCAGAAAAGGCATATTCTAGTTGGAAGCTCAAGACGACATCAAGTAATGATTTAAACTGAATAGCTGGAGGGATAGTTTTGTACTATTTTATATACAATAATGGAGAATTTCAAATTCTACTAAGAATAGAATTGAGTTCAGTTAACTAATAATCTCAGGTTAAAAAAAAAAAGTTTCCATAATCTTTTTTTTTCTTTATTTAGAAGACAGCATTTTGAACAACAATTTTTTAAAAAAATTGGAACAATATGTCTTTTACACAAAGTAATGAAATACGACGAATAATAGAAAGTGAAAGAAAGTAATAAAGGAAATCTGTTTCGGGTACTTTCACTTGTTCTTCTAAAGGTGTCTTTTTTTCATTGTGAAAGTGTGGTGTGAGCTTCATTTTCTTTCAAAAGTGCCGAACTGCAATCAAGAGTAATTTACATAAAAGACAGCAGGTAACAACATTTTGCAGCATATTTCCCTTTCATACAGGAAGAGAAAGAGAGAAGGAGAAGAAAAGAAAATCATCAAAGAGTTTATGAGGTCATTTCTGAAACAAAGTCGAACATTAAAAAACAGCCCTTGGCTTCTGATAGAGAATAACTTAAAGTTATCCAGGTTCCATGGAATGCATTTAAGGCAATATAGCAGATGGGGTATTGAGTAACATCTTGAGTTAATTTATTTTTGAAGTGCACAATGACTTTTTATGATATAATTGAATTAGAGAGTCAGAAGGAATATCTTTCTCCTGTTATTTTATTGTTATCTTGGAAAAAGTATCAGAATATTCGTGCAATTATTATTATGATATGTAGGATACACACTTAAATCAGCATCAAACATATAATTTTTAAAAATTTTGTAGTTAATTCTGAGAAGAAAGCATAAAGACAATGTATACACTGCTACTCTGATGTTTCTGAGCCAACCAGCTTGTCCGGCATTGAGTGAGGTTTTAGTTGATTGTATGCTAGATTTTTCATTACATTTGCTACTGTATTTGTAACTGAAATAGAAAAGCAACTTTAATTTAAGTTCAAAAATTAACTACAGGTACCAATAGCCATTTCATTAGTAAAATTAAGAGAGAACGAGAAAGAGAGTATGTGTGTGTGTGTTTGGAAGGTATAATTACAGTGTCGAGTGTCTACTTTCAGTTTCATTCTTGAGATTAAAAAATTTGGAATAATAATGCAAATAAAGCAATTTATACTGACAATAATTTTACTCTTGATTTATCATAATGTACATCTTTCTACAGTTTTGTTTAAAAAATCTTTCTATTTTGAGAAAATCAAATAATATTAAGCAATTATAACTTAAGAAATGCCTTTTTTTCCAAATTCAACTTTGCATTTAGATTGCATTTAGAAAAAGATAAGATAATGTATTTACTTTGAATAAATGTTATTAAAATCCCGTACACTGTTTGGGAAATCTTGGAAGCCAAAAGAGAATCTGTGAAAGAACATGCATTGCTCTCTTTTGCCAGTTATTTTTGTAAAATTACTTCCTAAGAAGAGACCCTGTAGAAGAAACCACCAATGTTCATAGTCCCTTATCTGGAGTAAGATTTTCCAGTGGATTCTCAAGGACATAAGGTTTTCCTTGTATGCAGAAGTTATGGTGAGAAATCAAGTATGCAGAAGCATCTATCATCACCTGCTTGGTAGATCTGAAGATGACAGGTAACTTGTCAACATATTGTCAACATACACTTTCCTTTCCTTCCGCTGTAGCAGCCTGGCAGCTTCTGTACACACTTTATTGTGCAGGTGCTTTCTTTTGGCAGACATGTTCAGATAATAGAGCAATCCAATCAAAACATCAGTGAGACTCCCTGACAGAACATTTGCTGCTTTGGAAACATTTGCACTTACCATATGGCAAGGGCATCTTAGGCTATGAAACAGTGATTATTCAGAGTTTCAGTCTCTGAAAAGCATGCAGGATTTATTATGGTGAAAATGCACACATTTTAGAGCAATTTATAAGGTAGTTGCACAGTTAAGTCAGTAAAAAACATTTTTTTGCGGGTACACAACTGAGTGCTCCAAGAAATTGGGACTATCCTCCAAACTTTTTTCTGTATCACTAAGGAAATATATTTAAAATGTCTAAATAATATTGTATTCAATCTAATGTACTCCTTTCTTTGTTACAAATTAGCTGTTTTCTCTAGCAACTCGAATGTTCCTGTCATCCAGATAGAGCATCTTGCTTCCTTTAACAGGTCAACTGGCGGCATTAGGGCATATTGTCACTTTTAGTCCTTTCTTTTGTAGTTTCCATAATGACTGTTGCCCTTCCAGTTGTCCTTGCTGTTTAATTGCCATAAATCCTCATGTCAGCACATTCATAACATGGCACAATTATCGAGTTTAAGGTGTATGTAGTTTTGTAGTCTGAATGCTTTCAGAAGAAAGAAGACCTTGATCTTATCAGTAACTTGAGTCCAAATTACATTTAAGGGTCTCACTTCTTGAGAGGTTTCCAGTGGACAGATAATCGAGCTTATGTGGATTCTTGTTATCTTCAAAGTGTGATTTTTTTCCTAACCCTTGCCTATTTTCAGTTATACCTTCCAGTTGATACTCATCTTGCTGTCTTTAATTTTCATTAGTTCATATAGATGCCAAGCATTTGTTTTTCTGTTCACTGAACAAAGTACACATACTAAAATGGGTTACAAATTAATTCTCTCAAATAAACCTAAAAATCTTCCTACAAATCTTAAGGGTACATTCATATTTTCCAGCATGAATTGACCTGGTACCATCATATATATCTGATATCGCTAGCTTGCAGTCTGGAGGACACATTGGTGATACCATGAATGCTAATCATTCATCCATCTCTTTCTTTCAATATTTTGCAAGATTCTTCATGTTGGCTAGTTAATTAAATGTCTCCTAGCATAAGATGTTTTCTGTAATTAAGTTAGTGCCTACAGAATAACAATAGTTTAGAGAGAGAGCTTTTATCAAGCAGAAAAAAAATTAAATGAAGTCAGTCTTCGGTTCTGAAATAATTGGGCTATAATTCACAAAAGACATGAGACAGAAATGTAAAACTTTGACAAATATGACATGCCTTCAAATTGCCTGTTCAATATGAAGAAACTGTACAGACATATAACAGGAAAAGTAAATTTCTGGAATTTAAACTGTGGTTTGTCCATCATGTCTGCTAATGAAATTATACAATGTTTCAATGAAAAGATTACACTTCCGGCAAGCATTTATCTCCTCTTTATGTAACTCTTTATGTATTATATTATTTGTCAAAAAATATTGGTCAATGCAATATTTGTGATTATTGAATTGGATTAGTTGTTGGATTAGTTTGACAAGTGACACATAAAGTGTTTTTAAAAATGATTGTAAGAACCAAAAAATCAAAGAAAAACAAACCTGTAAATAAAATTTGAACAATGACATGCTTAACTCACATATAGAAGGCCTTTGATAGATCATTTTGAGGAAAAACTAACCACTCTTGCACACACACAACGAGAAACACAAAAATAAAACATATAGCATATGCCTTTACTAAACATTTCATTCAATAGGCTTAAGGACCCTTGTGTATTTTGTAAAGATTTACGTCATAATTATGAGAAAATTGCATTTAGAAAATTCAGTCAAGTATCATGATAGTTGATTAATGGATAACAATAAACTATTCTGTTTTAGTACTTAAGTTCACTAGCTTAGGCAAAAGCAGTTAAAGAAGGAGTGTGATGGAAATTTATTAGGAACCAGAAGAGACACAATGTGTATGCTAGAGATTTTCAGCACCCCAAAAGTAGGAACAAGTAGTGATGGTTTAGCCTTTTTCTTTAAGCATATAAAAGGTAGTGTTAGAAACTTAAAATTTCGCATTGCAGATGATAGCTCAGTTATTGGAATAACATGTCATAGGAGAGCACATGCAATGAAAACAATTGGTAAACCCCAAAATATATTAACTATCCAAATAATGGTCTGTTTAATGCTTCAAAAAAAATCAGGAGTATGTTTTAAGTTAATCTATTCACTGGTCTACAAAGTAGGCAATTCTGACCCTCCAATAGATGGGCTACAGTATTTCCTGTGGATCTGACCAAATCCTCTCAGGAAACATTTAAAAATTGAAACACATCTGCAGAATCAAAATACAGAATCCTGATCATGAAGACAAAATGCTGACTGGTGGTTTGCAGGGCATATAGGGGAGGAGGGACTGGGAAGAAACTGCTTAATGAGTATGGGATTTGACTTTTGAGTGATGGAAATACTTTGGAACTAAATACAGGCTGTGGTTGTATAACATTGGGAATGTACTAAATTCTATTGAATTACTTACTTTAATATTGTTAATTTTATGTCAAGTAAATTTTACCTTTTTTTTTTTAACAAATGCAGACTTCCCATCAGATTCCTACAGTAAACCCAGAATCGATTGTCCCTTCTGAGCACTGGTTTATGTTGTGCTCTTTCATGTGGTGGATACTCATTAAGTCCAATTGCAGTCTTTCCTATTGCTTTCTACAGGGCGGAGAATTCTCCTTTTTCATTTAAGAATTTCTAACACTTAGCACAGCCTCTGCCATTAAAAAAGCGTGTTCAATAAAGGATAAATACATAAATGAATACCATTGCATAATTTTGATTTTACTAGTTTAGAACCCTATGAATTTGTTCTTACAAATATCTGTGGTACTTCTAATTATATCCAAATTTCTCACAATGAAGCAAGCAATAATAGAAAATAGATGACATTTTCTTTTTATGTATACTGATTGTGTTTCATTTGATGCAAACATGATTTGTAATAGCATTCATTTTCAGAAGCGGATCCATAAAGTCAAAGTTCTTATCACCGTGTTCTATAGGCAATATTTCCCTATGCTATGGTCTTGTATAAGGTTTCCAATTTTCAATTTAGTTATCAATAAAACATTGTTAGCCATACCCAACTCTGGATTTTCGTAAGAAAGAAAAAATGTGTGCATACATGTACATATACCTATGTGTATATATTTATAAATGTATGTTCTTCTTAACATTTTTATTGATTTTTAATGTTAGGATAAAAAATTGTGTTTTACTTGTTAAAAATATTTTCCTATATTTATCTATTCTAATATTGATACTGACTGTAATGCAGAATTAAAAGTATAGGCACTGGAGCCAGATTCACTCAGTTTTAAATGCAACTCTTCAATTTCTTAGATCTGTGACTTTGTCCAAGTTTCTTAAGCTTTCTGTGCTTCAGTTTTCTCATCACCAAAATAGTTATACCATTTATCTCATCAGGATATCTTAGTGATTAAAGTAGGTAAGATAAAATGCATAAAATTTGAAAATGACAGGCAACAAAAATAACTGTTTTATTATAAATATTATAGTTTTAACACACTATTTTTGGAAGTTGTTTAAGTATTCAATTTTTACTATTATAAATGTAGCACCCTCCCTGCAGAAATTAGCATGGCTGAGGCAATGTTCTCTAAAGATTGTGGCTTGCCTTGTTTTACCAGCTCTGCTTACCAGGATCGTGAACGCATTATAATAGTTGGGATTCATTCAGTCCAGAACATCAACCTAAAACAATTTATAAAGTGTATGGAGGATCTTTTTAACTAATTTCCTTATAAGCACAGTAAAGTAAAGTGTTCATGTTACAAAGCCACACAATGAAATGGAGGCTTTATAATAAAATCCACCTAAACATAACAATTAATTACAAAAGATGCATGGTATCATCTCAGAAGACTTTAGCTATTTCCCAGTTGCATCTTATTAAGGAGCTAGCGAAAATAGACCTACAATATTTTCAAGGATAGTCTTTCTTGGATTCTGGTTCAGATTTCTTCTTTTTGATGAAATACAATTTTGTCTGATACCAGTCTGCTCAGAGATTTCTCTTTTATAGGCTATTTTCTGCATCTTAATCTCTGTTTATGAACTTATTTTATTCACAAGCTATGTTTATAAAAAAAAGTTTTTCAATTTGTTTCAATAGTCATGTGTTCCTGGTGAAAATCCCTACTGCTGTATTTTTCTTCATGTTGGATTATTACTCATTCTTACTTCTGTTTCTCTAAGGCCCTCCAGCATTTTCATGCAATCTGCTCATCCTTTGTTCATTCCATTTTTCTGTACAGCTCTCATGTTTTGGGCTATACTGTGTTAATAGTCTTGTTCTCCCTCTGCTCTCTCTCTCTCTCTTTTTTTTTTTTGTCAGTGAAAATATATTCCCAAAGTAACATCTGAGCAGGGAATAAAAATGTCTCCCATTAAATGGAAATGTAAACATCATGATACCCTTTCTGTGCGCAATTGAACTACTTCCTTTCTCTTTGCAGACGTGTTTTCCCCTCTTTCTCACTATTCCAATTTACAGGATTATGTATCTAGCCATCTCACACCCAATATTGGGTAGAGAAGAGAGTAGCAGATTTATTTTTTATTTTTTTGCCATTTGGAAGTTACATAAATACCAGCCTCAACAGTCCTCTCAGATCCATCCTTTTATCCTGATATTTTATAAATAGAAAAGGAGAAAACATTCTTTTCTAAATATTAACTATAAACATCTCACATGCAACAAAAAGTGACATTTATCTTGTTCATAGACATATTATTACTTTCAGTTCTGTATATGACAGAGCTTGTTAACTTTATTTCATAGTGGTAATGATACTCTATTGTGATAACAGTACTAGTCAAAATGGAAGCAATCTACTGCCTTATCTCATATTAGTATCTGTCCTTCCCATTATTTATAAACTGTTGGCTCGCTTTTCCTAATTATGTTAATAATATATATTATATCATTTCTCTCAGTACTTTCATCATGAATTTAGAGAGCATATACTGTAGAACATAAATAAATAAATACATAGATAAATAAATACTACAAAACTAGTTCACAGTGGAGTTTATTGCATTGCCCAAAGGTGAAAAAAGTATATATTTATTTTTAGAGAAAATTGCGGGAGAATCTCATTAAGAACTAATGGCCTAAATAATTTTTTGAAACCGTGTTTCCCAGTTTACATCTTCCATGGGGTATCTGCAGTTCTCTGTTGCTAAGGGATCTTGAGCTGTGTCTCTGATATTTTAGAAGGACCATTTGCAATGACAGAGTCAGCTTGTTACAGTGTATTAGCTAGCATCACATAGCAGCTAATTTAAAAGAACTAAGAGGCTTAGTGATATGTAATCAGCCAAGAATGTGTGGACTCTTGCTCGGAGAAGTTAGTTATTTCATTATTTTTTCATCAGCTGTGATGACAAAGTAGTTGACTAGAGGAAGTATACTGGCCAATAAATAAAGAGCTGTAGACTTGGAACACCATTTTGTTTTTGTTTTTGTTTTTTTGAGATAGAGTTTTGCTCTTGTCGTCCAGGCTGGAGTGGAATGGCACGATCTTAGCTCACTGTAAACCTCCACTTCCCAGGTTCAAGCAATTCTCCTGCCTCAGCCTCCCAAGTAGCTGAAATTATAGGCACCTGCCACCACACTGGACTAACTTTTTTTTTTCCCCTGTTCTTTTAGTAGAGACAGGTTTCTTCGTGTTGGCCAGGGTGGTCTTGAACTCCTGACCTCAGATGATCCTCCCACCTTGGCCTCCCAAAGTGCTGGAATTGCAGGCATGAGCCACCGCACCCAGCCAGAACACCATTTTGAAATGACTAATTAAATAAATTTAAATAGTGCACGTAGCTGGCTGCTAACATCAAAGAGAGACACCTCGATGTTATATGCCTCCTGAAGGAAGCACAAAGTATTTTAAAGTATTTTTGCCAAAATTCCACAGCCAGAAAATGAACTCATGGAGCTATTCAGCTGCAAACATACATTATCATTCAAGAAGAAAGTATGGCCCTGGGGGTGGCTCAGAGATTGGCAGGTGGCCACTACATCCACAGGCCGCCTACAGGGTGGGGTTGCATCAGGGGCTCAGATGGCAGAACCTCAACTCACAGAGGTTTATTTTCAGGTCTCTGAACCTGTTGGGTTTTGAACTTGTTTTGAGCCATCCAGAATGGATGGATCTATTCCTGGTCTATCCCATCCTTGTATTTGGGAGGTGGATAACTTGTTTTCTAGTTTCCAGGTAGAAAAAAAATTGGGGGACATTTGTCTTTGGATGGATCATACTCAGATTCTCATCCATATTCAATTTAGATGATTAAATATGGAACTCTTTGAGATAGTGTTACTTAGATGAAATTTTGGACTTAGAGCAAAGACAAGATTGAATTAAGACTTTTGAAGATTTGGGGATGGTGCAAATATATTTTGCCTGTGGAATGGACATAAACTTGGTAGACTCTTATGGATTGAATAATGTTCCCCCAAATTCATCTATCCAAAATGTGAAAATGCGACTTCATTTAGAAATATGGTATTTCCCGATGTAATTAGTATTAGGGTAGAGGACACAGAGAGGGACACAGAGAGGAATGGCATATTAAGAAAGAAGTGGAATTATGTTGCCACAAGCCAAGAAATATCAGGAGCTACCAGAAGCTAGAAGAGGCAAGGAAGGATTTTCCCTTCTAGTCTTGGGAAGGGAGTATGGCCCTGCTGCCACTTTGATTTTGGACTTCTGGCTTTTAGAATTGTGAAAGAATACATTTTCTTTCTTTTTTTTTTTTTTTTGCAATCTTGTTTTTGAAATTAATTTTTATTTTCTTCACATTGTGTTGGATGATCAGAGGATTATAATTATTCCCTGCCCCAGGGGAGAGTATTGCAAAGGTACATAGGGCATGAACGTGGGGAGGGCAAGAAGCGTGCCCAAAGCGTGCTATAGCACAGTGTGTGTTCCACTCCTCATACAGCAATGAACTGGTGAAGGAGTTAAAATCTTAATGATTTCTAAATGATCAACAGTTTTAAAAAACATAAATATGCAGCATGAGAGCCTACATTTGTATTTTCTGGTACTTTGCTACAGCAGCTCTAGGAAACTGATGTAACATATGATAACCAACACAACATGTAAATTTTTAAAAATTGTCACCAACACTATAAATATTATGAATGCATGTGAAAGTGAATTGTGATCCATATTTTCAATTTTGGAAATAGAAAAGTAATAACAATCGTTTTAACACTACACCAAAACTAACAACAGCAATAAGTGCTTTATTAATATCAAATCACTTCATTTTTACAATAATTGCATTTGCAAAGTTCCTGTTGTTATCACCACATTTATAGATCAGGAAAACCTGTTTCAAAAGTAAAATTAATTCACTGAGTTCAATAGCTTTTAACTTGCAGAGAGGAATGTGAAATCTTATACATCTGATGGAAAACTTACGGTCTTAAACTAAAAACTTGTGTTCATAATTGACTATGATATAAGTCCAGTCATATATTCAAAGGATTTTGCCAACTAAATTTGAGACCATGTAATGTTATTGATTCCATAATTAGTAGCTATTTGTATTTGCAAATGCTACCTCATATTATACATTTAGACTTTTATTATGAACTCTAGAATATCTAACCTATCTGTTACAAGTTGAATTGTGTCCTCAAAAATTCATATGTTGAAGTCCTAATTCTTAGTACCTCAAAATATGACTTTATTTGGAAATAGTCTTATTTTTAGATGAAATTAGTTAATATGTGATCATTAGGGTAAGGGGAAATCTACTATGGTGTGTTTCTTTATAAAAGAGGGAATTCGGCCACGGAGGGAAGATGATATGAAAAAGTGCAGGGAGAAAGCAATCATCTAAAAATCTAAGTGAGAGCCTAGAACACATTCTTCCCCCACAGCCCTCAGAGAGAGCCAGCCCTGCTAACACCTTGATTTAGGACTTCTAGCATCCATAACCCTGAGACAATACATTTTTCTTGTATATACCAGATAATACATTTTTCTTGTGTACACTACAAAGTTTGCATTGCTTTTTACAGTCGCAAATTAATACAACACCCATCATAATTTGCTGTTTGTCTTTAAATATTTATCATATAAGAAGAGGAAGAAAATATGACATTATGTGCTTTGCCTAATCATTGACCTACACTCAGGTCAGTGTCTGTTTTGGCACTGTAGCAAGCTAATGTTTCAGAGAAAATTGCATTTCCTAATTCCTTTCTCAATATGAATTTGGTCATTTTAATTTTTTTTTTCAGTTACATGTGTCACCGTCATTGTCTTAACAATGTTTTTCTTGAAATGAAGTTTTCTCATTTATTTTATTTTATCTTTTGTTTTGTTTTGTTTTTACTGAGTTTCATTTTTGTTGCCCAGGCTGGAGTGCAATGGCGCAATCTCGGCTCGCTGCAACCTCCGCCTCCCAGGTTCAAGCGATTTTTCTGCCTCAGCCTCCCGAGTAGCTGGGATTACAGGTGCCCACCACCATGCCTGGCTAATTTTTTTTATTTTTATTTTTAGTAGAGACGGGGTTTCACCATGTTGGTCAAGGTAGTCTCGAACTCCTGGCCTCAGATGATCTGCCCGCCTCAGCTCCCTAAAGTGTTGGGATTACAGGTGTGAGCCACCATGCCCAGCCAAGTTTTCTCATTTATGCTGTTATCTCTTGAGAATTTTTTTTTAATCTCTATTATGCTCCATTCAATTTTCTTTACACTTTCTTTTAAATGTTTCTTTTCTCAATCTAGCCCATGGTACCATATTGCTTCAATAAAGTTTTGCAACCATTTTCAGCTATGGTACTTATTTGTCTTCCAGTAACTAATCAAGTGATTGCACACTCTAGATACTTAGAAATGTTTTGGTTTATGATAATCATTATAACTGCAGATGTTTAAGTCAAATTCATGAAGTATAATCAGCAAGATATTTTATTTTATTTTTCTCTCCTATCCATTCAAATAAGTTCTGAGGGTTGAATGCATTCTTTCTCTGTAACTGGATAAAACATCAGGCCAGCCCCACTTAATTACCATTTAAGAAAATATCCTCCAGGTACTTTTAGAAAACAATTATTATAATTGCATACATCTATTTAGCAAATTTTTGTGGAATACTAATATTTAGTAGATATGGCTCTGGACACTTGAACACATCCATGATTAAACAGATATAAATCCCTCTCCTTGGGAAACTTGAATATTTATGGAGTGGATTTTGAAGGTTTTTCCAAAATAAGGCTATACTTGACTACTTGAGTAAGGTTCCTGGAGGAATAAATGACTCATGACTTACGCATGTCCTTTGATCAGTTTTCTCTCCAATGGGAGTCATTAAATTAAATAAAAGTATGAATATGGTTCTCAATTTTAAGTACAGTGATCAGTGACACAAGCTTGGCTTTAGGAGACTTTCTGGTCAGTCTGAACTCATTGTCCATGTTTGTTATGGGTGATGGGATTGCCCTACAGGTGCTTATTGCAGGTAAATGAAGAGGAGTCTATGCAATCATTAATATCTCCTGCTTTATCTGGATTAATGCCTTGAACCAAGTAAAATGGTCAATACAGATACATGAGAATAAAGTCACTTGACATACTAAGGTAGAGCCTAATGGTTTATAGGATTAGCTGAGCTGGTTGGGGGTAGTAAATATAAACTGGATAGTTCAGGTAAGTACTGTAGATTTATCATATCTTGCTGTTTGAAGTCCAGTTGGTAGTAACTTTATTTACGCATGTTATGAGACAGCTTGTATGAGTTTGGTTTGAGCCCCCATCAGTCTAATTAATTAGTCAGTCATCAATTGACCGGTACATTCACACACACACACAAAGTCCAGAAATCAAGATGGTATAGAAATAAAGGATGGTTTTGTATTTTTATTGCTGAAATCATTGATTTCATTCGATCCAGCCATATTTTCTTTTGACTAGGCTATGGGAATTGTGGCTCTTTTGCCCTAACAACATTCCTTTTTCTCATCAGAGGAGAGTAAGTAACAGCCAAGTCACTAGGAGGGGGCCTTGTTTCAATCCTACTTCTAGCCACTCAGCCTCAAAGCATTCAGTAACTGTCAGAATAGTAGGGGACTGTTACACCTTTCCCTCTCCTACCACTAGGTGAGAACGTTTCCTACCAGATTCCAGGAAGTCTTCTTCGTATATCATGATATCATATTTTACACGGTTTTTGGACACAAGGTCATCCAACCTGAAGTGCAGTGGCACAATCATGGCTCACTGCCGTCTTGACTCTCTGGACTCAAGCCATCCTCCCACCTCAGCCTCTCAAGTAGGTAGGACTACAGATACTCACCACCATGCCTGGCTAATGTTTTCTATTTTGTGTAGAGACGGGGTCTCATTTTGTTGCCCAGGCTGGTCTCCGATTCCTGGGTTTAAGCCATCCTCCTGCCTCAGTCTCCTAAAGTGCTGGGATTACAGGCATGAGCCACTATGCCCAGCCCATATTTCAAACAAACATTGATCCACAAGGTTCTTATCCTTCCTCTTCCAGAGACTTGTCTCTGACAACATTCCGTCTTCCACCAAAACTTTCAAGACCCTGTGAAAGGTCTGAAATTGTATCTTACTTTGCAAGGCGAACATTAGAAAATGCTAGGCTGCCAGACTTGCATGGATTCTGGAAGATGACATGAGACTCCAGGGTCGTATATACAGGATGTTGATACTCATGACAGAGAAGGCAGCCCATGTGCCCTAGGGATAACACATAAAAACATAGATGGATTCTGTGCAGGCAGTGAGTTTGTACCACATCGGAGGAAACTTTGAGCCTAAGCACTCAAACCTTTTACAATAGTGCTGTCCTTTGTTCTCGATGGGGGCATTATTTTTCTTATACTGAGCAGTAAACAAGCTTGCCCTTTTCTGTTGAAGGGAAACACTCTTTCTGTATTCCAAGGCTATTTTGTATACAAACAGTATTGAAAAGCTAGTCTGTAATAAAGGCTGTCAGAGTCTCTGGATGCAAGAAGCACAAAAACATGAGTGATCCTTGAAAAAAAATGTCCCACCACAGATATACTAGCAAGCACTTGTTCACTTCATCCTTAGAAATATCACTGAAGAGATAATTCTCTGAATTTTTAGAGGGTTTATCTCTCACCCTCTGAAGTCCAGTTGTCTTGTGAAGTTCTCCAATGTAGGAGCAACCTTTTATTCATTCTGTCCAATAGTGTGATGTCATCGATACAATAAAACAAGGTGATGTTCTGGGAGATGTCCAAACCACCCAGCTAGCTTTGGATTATGTTATGACAGATGGCAAGACATATTACATAGCTCTAAAACAAAACTGTAAATGAAGATTTTTCTGCAGCTCATGTAAATGTAAACTGTCTCTGATTCACTTTTCTCATGAGAATAGAAAATAATATATTCATGACATCAATGCTTGCATGTTACATACCCAAGGATTTATGAATATGCTTCAGCAATAATAGCACTCTGCACAGCAACTGCAACCAGTTCTGCTTGTGAAGTCTGCTGTAAGCTGCAGTTCTTCTCTGAGATCCATTCAGTGTGTGTGCAGGCCAATCTTGTGAATTAGATGGATAGATGATAGGAATGATCCCCAGTGACCACTGTAGGCCTTCAGTGTTACTAATCTTTGTGGTTTCCCTTGGATACAATATTGGTTTTTAATATAGAACCTGGACTAGAGTAGGGGACAGTTTTAGAATTTTGCATATAGGCTTCTTCACTATGAGAACACTTCCCTTAAAGGGCAGGGACCAGATGTGTTTTTGTTTTTTTCGAACTGCCAAGAAGACAAATTCAAGTATGCATTCAGAGACCTGAGAAATGACCTCTGTGTTATTCTCACCCCATGTTTGGTTCCTCTGTGATCTGGAAGTTAGCCAGGAGTTTATTACCTGACTCATGAAAACCCCCTCTCTATAAAGGGCTCAGAGTGATTCTTTGGGGCTCCTGGTGTCATGGCCAACTTAGGGACTCTGTACAGTGCAAAATCACTTGAGTAAATGGTTTATAGATCTCCATGGGGAAAGACTAGGATAATGATGCCAGTATATATTTGCCACAATGTTATAGGAACCCATCTTAGAAAGGGCTCCTTAGGCAAATCTTTCTGGATTGTGAAATTGGCTCACGTCTGGGAAATAAGCCAGGGAACATAACTCTTTATGGGAACAACCACCTTCTGCTTCTTGCTCATCTGTTTTTGTCTTTTGGGGGTATATATGTCAAACAACATCCTGTTGGTTGCATGTTTTGTACTTGGAGCATCATGCTCTGTTAACTATCACCAAACTCAGTGAGGATCAAAGCTCCTCAGCTCCCTTTCAATCCTGCTAGTCATTATGCTAATTAAAGCTTCCTGGTTTCTTCTGGTTAAGCACTGCCATCTGGCCTCTAGTACTCTGGGGCTCATCATTCCCATGGATATTAATGAGCCCTGATCTGCGATTGTGTGATCGTTTTTCCCACCATCAGCCCTGCTCTTCAGAGAACCACGACTGAACTTCTTCATGAAGCAGGTGTCCCTCTCATCAATACATTCCTAACAGTGTGTCTGTGGGCTGTCCTAGGTGGGTAGAATTCTCTGGTGGGTCTTCTGGCCTTACATAATAGCAATCCTGAATACTTCTCCTAGGCCTCTGTATCCCTTTCTTAACCAGAGCAAATGCTGGAATTTCCACTGTATTAAATATCGACCATCATTTTCCAGGCTTTCAAGGGCCAATCCAGCAGTGACTTTTCCGTTTGCCTGTGGTCCTGGCCAGGGTATTTAATCCAATGTGCTGAGAAAATTATTTTTCTAGTGTTACATTCCAATAGGCTGCTTGATAAAACATCCTCAAAATCCAGTTTTAGAGAGAATTGTCTGGCTCTTACTAGTATCTACAAGCTAATTCTTGCAACTGCATCAGTGTATGGCCTATTTCCAAACTTTTCAGTGCCAGCACGTCAACAGATAGTGTATGCTGTGATGTGATATTAACCATTGTCCTGGCAGACAGAAGAAGCGAGAGCAGTTTCTGAGGGTGCTATTCTTGCCTTGTCTGGGAAAGGTCTCTACAGCATCTTTCAGAACAGCAGAAATTCTATTTGGTAATAAGGAAGCATGGACCAACTCTTCAAGCTCTCACATTTCATGGGTGCCTGCACATATAATATACCCAAGGGAGTCCCTTGAGATATCCCAATCTATGTTTCCAGGTATGGGACTTTCCCAGCCAGAACCCTGACCTTGCGAAACTGATCTGCCTGGTTGAGCACTTCAACATCTCTGGAATTGTGTGCCTATAAAGATCAATTATTTTTGATTAGCTTAAAAATCAGCTGTGGCTACTCTTTCACTACAGGAAAAGAGGGCCTTTTTGTAAACTACGTAAGTGGCCTGGCTCTCACACCTCGTTATTGGCAGTTTCTTAGCCACTTTACCCTAGGGGTGTTAATTCCCTACACTTCTGGGTTGGTCATATGTGGCTACCCAGTGCGTTTCTTGTTGCTTAACAGCAACAGGGCGATACTAGTATAGTGGAAGTCTGAAACATGGGGTTGTTGATTGATGCTAGCATGAAACTGGCCACTATTAAGGATGCTGGGCAGTGCCACATACAAATTTGACCACTCTAAAGCTGGGATGGATGTAGCTGAGCATGTCCAAAGTGATTCAATAATGTTCCTATTACAGAGTTCCCTTAAAATCAAACATCAAATTGCATAAAATAGTTAATTCCATTGACCATAGTTTAATACACTTCATTTTCTCCCATCCGGTAACCAAAAGCACAGTTATTGTGATACATCACAATCAAATTGAGAACATTCCTCCGTGGATTTAAGCTGAGACTAATTATATCACATGGTTTGTTTTTGATAAACAAGCTCAAATATTAAAAAAAAATCTTAAGTCCATGAGAATTAATTTAGGTTGGATTTTTTAAATCACCCCCTCAGGTTTACTTTGAAATATTTCTAATTCTTCCAACTCAGTTGTGAATGAAGAATGACCTACATCACTTTTTTTTTTTTCTAATAAGAGGTAGTAGAAATAGAACAGCATGTTCAGTCTGAAAATAAGCAGCCTGGCTTGTCTGAGTATATTTATAGCTGGTATATTATCTTTTGCTCTTTATGCTCAAAAGACTAGGGTTCAATGTATTTGAAGGAGAAAAAAGTGGAGCTACCCTGGGAAGTAAAACTGTTAAGAGCAATGGACTTTCACACCATGAAGCGGCACAAAAGACATACATATTGAGACCTATCAAATGTGCCTTTAACTTCTGCATAGCGGGTAGTGGGGTTACAGAGAAACAATAAGGCAGTTCAGAGAGTAGCCTGAGAACAAGGCCAGGCAATCAAGTATGCAATGATAGAGCTCATACTAGTCCCAGACAATTTCACGCTGCAGGTGGAATGAGGTCTAAGAGATGAAAGCACTTAAGAAGAAAAGATGAGAAAAGGAAAGATGAGGAAAGCAAGCATTCTTAAATTCTGCAAGATACCATACACTTTATTTGATTTTAAAACATCATGTACATTTTTACACCCATGATCACACATTTATATTTACCATACTGTATAGGTGTCTGTCTCTTCCTCAATGCCATGCCTCCTTTCTACTTAAAAAGCCCTGATCTCCAAATTGCGTGTCATCAGTCTATGCTGCTTCATACCCCTCTATTCTGCAAGCATCTGCTGGTTGCTAGTCACATCCCTCAGTTTTCATACATTTTAGCCACTGTTTCACTATCACTCTCTTCAACATAACTGCTTTCTTGGTTCTTGTTAATTTTATTATCTAGAAAAATCAGCTTTCTGCATCCTTTCTGCTATGAAGGGTTTCTGAGTTCATTAAATCTCTCTCCTCCAGTGCTCTTTTCCATGTTGGCTCAGTCACTTATTGTTGTGTAATAGTTTTGAATTCCAGAAACATACATTGCCCCATAATCTGTTTCAGACATCACACTCAGTCTAATTCACACCCTGTTTTTCTCATTTACTCCCTGTCATGCAAATCCTTACAGCCCATCATCATCTATAATTCATTTACTTGATTGTTGTCCCACAACTCTTAAATATCATCTCTTTCCTCATTGCTTAAATTGTATAAACATTCTGTAAATGCACCCTCAACTCCCTTGCCCCTCTTTTACCTTTTGATAGCTTAAAAAAGTATAAACACACATATCATGTTTAAATACAATCATTTACCTAATCCAAGCCTACATTCTTTCAGCTCAGTGTGAGGAGCAAAAAAAAATAATCATTCTTACTAGTAAGTGGTTTTCAATTTTGTTGTGACCATCAATCTTGTATATACCTCCAATGCCTAACAGTTTACTTTTCCTCTTTCCTAGAATACCATTTTATACATTTTTTTGCTCCTCATGTCTATAATAAATCCTGTTCAGTCAGTGATCTGGTTTTACACATGACCCAGAAGAGAGAACAAACCAGAAGAGAGCTTTTAGAACTTCTTATGATGTGGGGCCATATCTCAGCATAGGCATTGTATGTTCTTCTTGTCTTCCTGCTATGAAGGATGAACGCTTTGCTTTTTTCCTGTCTGGGATCAGATTCTGTTTTGTTTTCTTTTGTTTTTATCAACTTTTCCATTCTTACTTTTCTTTCTTGCATCATCAACTTTTCTCTATTGGCTCGTTTCTCATTCCTAAGAACATACTAATATGACATTATTTCTCTCATTAAAAAGAAAAAATGTCTCGGCCTGGTGCAGCGGTTCACAGCTGTAATCTCAGCACTTTGGGAGTCCAAGGTGGGTGGATCACTTGAGGTCAGGAGTTGAGATCTGCCTGGCCAACATGATGAAACCCCATCTCAACTAAAAATACAAACATTAGCCAGGCATGGTGGCAGGCACCTGTAATTCCAGCTACTCAGGAGGCTGAGGGAGGAGAACCACTTGAACCTGGGAGATGGAGGTTGCAGTGAGCCAAGATCGCACCACTGCACTCCAGCCTGGACAATAGAGTGAGTCTCTGTCTCAAAACAAAGAAACAAACAAACAATTTTATCTCCACTTCTTTTTCTAGAAATCTTTCTCTTCCATTATGTGGCAAAAATCCTCAACAGGGTTTTCCACACACTTTCTTCAAATCCTACCTTCCCCATTCTCCCTTATACACTGTTTAATTGGGCTTTTGTATCCATGCCTTTATTAGAATTTCCCAGAATCTTTGATAAATCCTATTATCTTTCTTGGCAGTTAGCAGTCCTTTGACCCAAGTAACTATTCTCCATTTATTGAAATACTTTCCAGTTTTCACTGAATTGTCTCCCTATATCTTCACTGTATCCTCTGCTGCTTCTTCCTCATATTTAGGGCTTTATAATAGAGAAATGCCTCAGGTTCCATCTGGGGGACATATTTCTCTATATTTTCTTTTTTAGTGATTTCAACTAACTTCATGGTATTAAATATCTTTATTTGCTGAAATTAACA
Organism: Homo sapiens; assembly: GCF_000001405.40. Classification (NCBI taxonomy): domain Eukaryota; kingdom Metazoa; phylum Chordata; class Mammalia; order Primates; family Hominidae; genus Homo; species Homo sapiens. The sequence continues at coordinate 23,031,027 of NC_000005.10, forward strand.
AATTTACTTCTTCATCTTACCTTTGGTCCACTCTTTTGGGGAAGGGGGAGAGCTACTTCATTTACTCTTTCTCATCTCATTTAATGGCTGATCCTTCAATCTAGATGCCCAGGTCACTACTTAGAACCATGTTTTCTCTTTGTCCGCTTTCACTTTGCATTTCCTATCCATGAGAAAATTCTGATGGTTCCACTTTCAAAGTGTATCCAGAATCTGTCCTCTTCTCATTGTCTGTATCACAAATTTTCTGGTCAAGCTACTAACAGACCTTCTCTGAATACATACAGGAGTTCCCTCTTCTCCTCCTCCTTCCATCTTTTTCAAGCTTGAAGTCTATTGCCAACAAAGTATGAGATCAATCAATTCATAAAAGAAGTCAGTTCTTACCACTCCTCGACTAGACAATGTTTAGTCCCAACACTTTGCTTTCAGTTCTCTACCTGATTTATGCTCCTGTTTGAATTGTTTTCTGCTATGTGTCTATTTATTGGCTCTTCTCTGGTTACACTAGCTTTTTTATTCTTCCAAATCTCAGGGTGTTAGGGCTAAAAACATCCAACACCTAGAATGTTCCTTCTTCTGATAGCTACAATACCTATTTCTTTCTCTCATTCAAATTCTTTGTTCAGCAGAGTGACTGGTTCATATAGGCTCTACATAAATATTTGTTTATAAAATACATTTTGTAAATCTAAATATCTTAAAGTGTGAGTTAAAGCCAGATACCTCAAAATCCAAATGACTGAAAATCAAATGCAATACCGTGAATGAAGAAATAAATTTAGCAGCATATGCTTTATCTCTATCATTTTTGACTTGTGTAAAATAAAAATACAAGTGAATAAAAAGGTATAAAGAGAAAATCAAAGTAGGGAGCAAATAAACCCAAAATAAACCTGATCCAAACTTAATTGAACATTTTTGTTTGCCTTTGCTTGGACATGAGATGAAAAACCTATGTTAACACAGTTATTGTTTAACTTTTTAAAATAAATAATGGTCTGTTATCTATGTCACAGAATGTTAGCTATGCAAAACTCAGTATTCTCCTAGATTTTATGTTGCTTCCATAAGAATTGATAGAGTAAGAAAATATTAAGAAAGACTTGCATTGAATGTTGTAACTCATGCAGTGGTTAATGTCATAAGCCATCATAGAAGGGGCATTGTTTTAAAAAAAAAGAGAGAAACACAGAGAGATAACCAAAGTAACAAGAGAGCCAAGGAGAAATATGCACAAACAAAAGTGAGAAAAAAATTTAACAATGTTTTTAAAAAATTAATAACATAAACAATTAAGTTGTGATGTATATCTGTTGGTTAATGATTCTTGAATTGGATAAAGTAGAAAATGTCCCCTAGAGCATTCCTACTAATAGAAATTTATACACTGAATGGAGATATTCTGTGCTGTCTATGATGGTATCCACAGGTTACAAGTGGCTATTGAACACTTAAAATAGTTATAATGTTACTGAGGAATATAATTTTTAATTTTACTTAATTATAAAATTATAAATGCACATTTACATAGCCAGATAGGATTAGTGGCCACCATATTAGACAACACAACACTAGAACACCTGCTTTTGAGAAAAAAAGAATTGATTGTAAAGTAAAGCTTTAAAAAGCTCTATGTAAAAGCAAGAGATTTATAAAATCCAAGAGTATGTCAGTTTAATGTAAATTAAGATTTAAAGCAATAATCAAAGCATATAAGCTTGTTCTTTGTGGATAATCATTCTTCTATTGTTCAAATTTGTCTTGAATTTTAAATGTTTTCTTTAGCAAATGGTCACAACCTAAACTAGCAAAAGACACAAAACTCTGTGATTCAAATTACCAAAGCATCACCAATAAGTAAGCAAAATAAGCAAATATGAGACAAAAATGCATTAAACAAAAATAATTGCTTAAATTATTATTTGTGGGTTGAACATATAATTAAAATTAGAAAAATTCTTTAAGATATCAGGGGTAACTCTGTCTTGAGGAACTGATACAGCAATGTTGAGATTGGATTGGGTATAAGAATATTGAAAATTGAATAATCTACTGTGTTACTTTATATTCTACCTTGCTATGGTTTGAAATTGTCCTAAGGTTCATGACAATAAATATCCTCAAACTATGCTTTATTTGATGCCACTTCCCTGTTTAAATAATGAAGGTTTGGGAATTTAGCTTGGCATTTACCAATTTATTGAATTACATCAGCAAATGAATTAGAATTAACTCTTATTTATCAAAGGATAAGCAGAGATTATTCAATTAATCCATATAAATGCTAAATTTTGAATCTTTCCATGTGTTATGGTATTTCTAGAATATTGCATCTCTCCAAAATTGTTGAAATTGAATCCTTAATGTGATGCTATTTGGAAGTGGGGGCTTTGAACGTTGATTAGGCTTATGAATGGGATTAGTGCCCTTATTAAGAAGACCCCAGGGATCTCTCTTGTGCTGTTTCTGTCATGTGAGGATACAAGGAGAAGATGGCTGTCTATAACCTGAAATAGGGCTTTCAGTAGGAACTGACCATGCTGGCACACTGATCTTGGATTTCCAGCCACCTGAACTGTGAGAAATAAATGTCTGTTTTTTAACCCACCAAGTCGATGGTAATTTTCTATAGCAGCTTGTATTAGTCTGTTCTCACACTGCTGATTAAGATATACCTGAGACTGGGTAATTTATAAATGAAAGAGGTTTAATGGGCTCACAGTTCCACATGGCTGGGGAGGCCTCACAATCATGGAGGAAGGCAAAGAAGAAGCAAAGACGAGAGCTTGTGAAGGGGAAATCCCATTTATAAAACCATCAGATCTCCTGAGACTTATTAACTACCATGAGAACAGTATGGGGGAAACTGCCCCCATGATTCAATTACCTCCACCTGGCCTCACCCATGACATGTGGGGATTATTACAATTCTAGTTGAGATTTGGGTAGGGACAAAGCCAAACCATATCATTCTGCCCCTTGCCAATCCCAAATCTCACATTTCAAAACAAATCATGCCCTCTCAATGGTTGCCCAAAGTCTTAACTCATTTCCACATTAACTCAAAAGTCCACAGTCCAAAGTCTCATCTGAGACAAGGAAAGTCCCTTCTGCCTATGAGCCTATAAAAGCAAAAGCAAGTTAGTTATTTCTTAGGTACAATGGGGTTACAGGCATTGGCTGAATACGCATGTTCCAAATGGGAGAAACTGGCTAAAACAAAGGAGCTGCAGGCCCCATGCAAGTCCAAAGTCCAGAACAGCAGTCAAATATTAAAACTCCAAAATGATCTATTTTGACTCCATGTCTCACATCCAAGTCATGCTGATGCAAGAGATGGGTTTCCATGGTCTTGGGCAGCTCATCCCTGTGGCTTTGCAGCCCCCTTCCTGGCTGTTTTCATGGGCAGGCATTGAGTGTCTGCAGCTTTTCCAGGCACACGGTGCAAGCTTTCGGTGGATCTACCATTCTGGGGTCTGGAGGGTGGTGGCCATCTTCTCACAGCTCCACTAGGCAGTGCCCCAATGAAAACTCTGTGTGGGGACTCCAACCCCACATTCCTTTCTGCACTGCCCTAGCAGAGGTTGTCCATGAGGGCTCTGCCCCTGAAGCAGACTTCTGCCTGGCTATCCAGGTGTTTTCATACATCCTCTAAAATCTAGACGGATGTTCCTAAACTTCAGTTCTTGACTTCTGTGCACCCACGGGCCCGACACCATGGGGAAGCTGCCAAGGTTTGAGGTTTGAACCCTCTGAAGCAATGGCCTGAGCTCTATGTTGGCCCCTTTTAGCCATGGCTTGGATGCAGGGCACCAAGTCCTGAGACTGCACAAAGCAGCAAGGCCCTAGGCCTGGCCCACCAAACCATGCTTTTCCTCCTAGGCCTCTGGGCCTATGATGGAAGGGGCTACTGGAAAGGTCTCTGACATGCCCTAGAGGTGTTTTTCCCATTGCCTTAGTGATTAACATTTGGCTTCTCATTACTTATGAAAATTTCTGCAGCCAGCTTGAATTTCTCCTCAGAAAATGGGATTTTCTTTTCTATTGCATTGTCAGGCTACAAA